>NC_000024.10:10923564-10956868 GCF_000001405.40 Homo sapiens
ATTCCATTCCACTCCACTCATTTCCACTCCACTCCACTGCACTCCATTCCACTCCACTCCACTTCATTCCACTCCACTCCACTCCAATCCAATCCACGCCACTCCCTCCCCCACCACTCTACCCCTCTCCACTCCATTCCACTCCACTCCATTCCATTCTACTCCATTCCACTTCACTCCACTCCACTCAATTCCATTCCACTCGATTCCATTCCATTCCTTTGTTTCCACAGGATCTCTCTCTATCACACAGGCGGGAGTTCAGTGGCACAATCTCAGCTCAAATTTCTTTACACCATTCCACTGCATTCCATTCCATCCCATTTCATTCCACTTTATTTCATTCCACTCCACCCCACTCCACTCCATTCCAGTCCAATTTATTCCATTTCATTCCATTGCTTTCCATTCTTTTCTTCCAACAGGACATTACTTTTTCACACATGATGGAGTGCAGTGGCACAATCTCAGCTCACATTACATGTCAACTTTCCATTGCAATCCGTTCCAATCCGTTCCACTCCGTTCCACTCCACTCCAATTAATTTCATTACACTTCTTTCCACTCCACGCCATTCCATTCCATTACACTCTACTCCGTTCCACTCCACTCCACTCCTATCCACTCCAGTCCACTCTACTCAATTCCATTCCACTCCAGTCCACTCAACCCCACTCCACTCCACTTCACTCCATTCCACTACACTCTACTGATTCAATTCCATTCCACTCCATTCCATTCCACTCAACTCCTCTCCATTCCATTCCACTCGACTCTATTCCATTCCACTCCACTCCACTCCACTCCATTCCACTCCACTCCACTTTATTCCACTCCACTCCACTCCATTCCACTCCACTCCACTCCATTTGATTCCAATCCATTCCATTCAACTTCACTATAATCCATTCCACTGCAATCCATCCCATTCCATTCGACTCCATTCCACTCCACTCCACTCCATTCCATTCCATTTCATTCCTTTCATTCCATTCCATTTCACTCCACTTCATTCCATTCCTTTCTTTCAACAGGATATCACAGTGTCACCCAGGTGAGAGTGCAATGGCATAATCTCAGGTAAGATTACATGTCAACTTTACATTGCATTGCATTCTATTCCATTCCACTCCACTCCATTCCATGCCATTCCATTCCATTCCATTCCATTCCATTCCACTCCACTTTACGACATTTCATTCCACTCCACTCCCCTCCACGCCAATCCACTCTACTCCAGTCCTTTCCATTCCACTCCATTCCATTCCTTTCATTCCATTCCATTTAACTCCACTGCATTCCATTCCTTATTTCGAGAGGATAACACCGTGTCACCCAGGCTGGAGTGCAGTGGCATAATCTCAGCTAAGATTACATGTCAACTTTATATTGCATTGCATTCTATTTCATTCCACTCCACTCCATTCCATTCCATTCCATTCCACTCCATTCCATTCCATTGCACTCCATTCAATTCCATTCCATTCCACACCATTCCCTTCAATTCCATTCCATTACATTCCATTCCTCTACCTTTCATTCCACTCCACTCTATTCAAATCCACTCCACTCCATTAAACTGCATTCCATTCCGCTGCACTCCTTTCCACTCCCTTCTACTCCATTCATTCCATTCCTTTATTTCGACTGGATGTCACACTGTCACGCAGACTGGAGTGCAGTGGCAAAATCTTAGCTCACATTTCATTTCATCATTCGATTCCATTCCATTTCATTCCATTTCACCCCATTCCATTCCATTCCACTCCATTCCACTCCACTCCACTCCATTCTACTTCATTCAATTCCACTCCATTCCATTCCATTCCACTGCACTTCGATCCACCCCACTCAACTCCACTCCATTCCAATCGAGTCTACTCCGTTCTGTTCCATTCCATTCCATTCCACTCCACTACATTCCACTCCACTCCATTCCATTCCATTCCATTCCATTCCATTCCATTCCATTCCATTCCAATGCACTCCGATCCACTCCACTCAACTCTACTCTACTCCACTCCACTCTGTTCCATACTGTTCCGTTCCCTTCCATTCCATTCCATTTCACTCCATTCCATTCCACTCCACTCCATCCCACTCCATCCCATTCCATTCCACTCCACTCCATTCCACTCCACTACATTCCATTCCACTCCACTGAATTGCACTCCATTCTATTACACTGAAATCCATTTCAATTCATTCTATTCCATTCCATTCCTTTATTTCTACTGGATCTCACTCTGTCACCCATACTGCCATGCTGTGGCACAATCTTAGCACACAATTCATTTCACCATTCCATTCCATTGTATTTTATTCCATCCCATTGCATTCCATTCCATTCCATTCCATTTCATTCCTTTCCATTCCAATCCATTACATTCCATTTCATTCCACTCCACTCCACTTCACTCCACTCCACTTCTTTCCATTCCGCTCCATTCCATTCCATTCAATTCCATTTCACTGAACTCTGATCCACTCCCCTCACCTACACTCCACTAAACTCCACTCCTTTCCTTTCCATTCCATTCCATTCCACAACTTTCCATTTCATCCCACTCCATTTCACTCCATTCAAGTCCACTCCACTCCACTCTTCTCCACTCCATTCCACTACACAAAACTCCACTCCATTCCTTTCCATTCCATTCTATTGCACTGCACTCCGATCAACTCCATTCAAATCCACTCCACTCCACTCCACTCAACTCTGTTCCTTTCCATTCCATTTCACTCCATTCCATTACACTCCACTCCCTTCCACTCCTCTCCATTTCACTCCATTCCCCTACATTACACTCCATTCCACTCCACTCTACTCCATTGCATTCCACTCCATTCCATTCCATTCCAAAACATTCCACTCCAATAAACTCCACTCCATTCTGCTCCACTCCATTACACTCCATTCCATTCCATTCCATTCAATTTGATTCCACTCCTTTCTATTCCTCTCCATTCCATTCCATTTTACTCCATTCCATTTCATTCCTTCATTTCGACTGGATCTCACTCTGTCACCCAGACTGGAGTGCAGTGGTACAATCTTAGTTCACATTTCATTTCACCATTCCATTCCATTCCGTTGCATTCCATTCCATTCCGTTGCATTCCATTCCATTCCATTCCATTCCATTCCATTCCATTCCATTCCATTCCATTCCGTTCATTTCCATTCCACTCCATTTCATTCAATTCCATTCCACTCCGTTCAATTCGATTCCACTCCACACTGATACACTCCACTCCACTGCATTCCATTCCACTCAACTGCTTTCCATTCCATTCCACTCAATTCTACTCCACTCCACTCCATTCCATTCTATTCCATTCCACTGCACAAGCATCCACTCAAAACAACTCCACTCCAATCCACTCCATTCAGTTCCATTTCATTACATTCCCCTCCATTGCATTCCATTCCACTCCATTCCACTCCACTCTATTTCACTCCATTCCCCTCAATTCCAGTCCACTCCATTCCACCCTACTCCATTTCATTCCACTGCATTCCATTCCATTCCCATAAATTCCATTCAATTTCATTCAACTCCATGCCACTCCACTCCATTCCACTAAACTCCGTTCCACTACATGCCATTCCTTTCCATTCAATTGCACTCCAATCCATTCCACTCAACTCCATTCCATTCCATTCCATTCCACTGCAATCCGATCCACTGCACTCAACTCCACTCCACTCCACTTCAGTGAACTTATTACATTCCATTCCGTTCCTTTCCGTTCCATTCCGCTCAAGTCCATTCCAGTCCACTCCATTCTACCCCACTCCATTTCAATCAATTCCACTCCACTCCACTCCATTCCATTCCACTCCATTCCACTTCATTCTATTGCATTCCACTCCATTCCATTCCACTCCACTCCATTCCATTCCAATTTACTCCCGTCCATTCCATTCCTTTACTTCTCCTTGATTTCACTCGCTCACCCCTACTGAACTCAAGTCGCACAATCCTAGCTCTTATTTCATTTCATCGTTCCATTCCATTCCTTTCCACTCCATTCCATTCCATTGCATTCCACTCCACTCCACTCTGCTGCACTCCACTCCATTCCATTCCACTCCACTCCCTTCCATTCCATTCCATTAAATTCCATTCCTTTCATTTCCATTCCATTCCAGTGTACTACGATCCACTCCACTCCACTACACTCCTCTCTGTTCCGTTCCATTCCTTTCCATTCCATTCCATTCTGCTCCTTTCCATTACATTCCTCTCCACTCCTTTCCATTCCACTCCATTCCACTCCATTGCACTACAGTCCACTCCACTCCACTCCATTCCATTCCATTGCATTCCATTCCATTCCATTCCATTCCACTGCACTCTCATCCACTCCAGTTATCTCCACCCCACTCCACTCCAATCCACTTCATTCCATTTTGTCTCATTCCATTCCGTTTCATTCCACTCCATTGAATTCCACTCCACTCCATTTCACTCGTTCCACTCCATTCCACTCCACTCCACTGCACTCCACTCCATTCTATTCCACTCTCTTCCATTCCACTCCACTCCATTTCATTCTACTCCACTCCACTCCATTCTATTCCCCTCCATTCCATTCTACTCCAATCCATTCCACTCAACTCCATTCCACTCCACTCCATTCCATTCTAATCCATTCCAGTCCTACCAAATCCATTCCAATCCACTCCACTCCATTCCATTCCACTCCATTCCTCTCCTTTCCACTACAATCCAGTTTTATTCCACTCTATTCCAGTTCACTCCATTCCACTCCAATCAACTTCATTCCTGTCCATCCCATTCCATACATTCCATTCGATTACATTCTAATCAATTCCATGACATTCTTTATTTCTACTGGATCTCACTCTGTAACTCAGACTGGAGTGCCATGGCACAATCTTAGCTCACATTTCATTTCAACAATCCATTCCATTCCATTCCATTTCTTTCCATTCCATTGCATTCCATTAAATTACATTACCTTACATTACCTTCCACTCCACACCACCTCACTCCACTCCACTAGACTCCATTCCATTCCACTCCATTCCATTCCAGTTCACTCCATTCCATTCCATTCTATTCAACTCCATACCACTCCATTACACTCTGCTCCATTCCACTCAACTCCATTTCACTCCTCTCCATTCGATTCCACTTCATTCCTTTCCATTTGACTCCATTCCATTGAACTCTACTCCATTTTACTCCATTCCACTCCACTCCACTCCTTTCCACTCCACTCCACCCAACTCCATTCAACTCCACTTCACTCCACTCCATTCCATTCCACTCCACTCCCTTCCATTTCACTCCATCCCATTCCACTTCACACCACTACATTCACTCCAATCCACGCCACTCCAATTCACTCCACTGAACTCCATTGCATTCCATTCCTTTCCACTTCACTCCATACCCTTCCATTCCACAC
The DNA here is from genome assembly GCF_000001405.40 of Homo sapiens. NCBI lineage: Eukaryota > Metazoa > Chordata > Mammalia > Primates > Hominidae > Homo > Homo sapiens. Next base: position 10,929,008 of record NC_000024.10, read on the forward strand.
CATTCCATGCCATTCCATTCCACTGCACTTCGATCCAATCAACCCCACTGCACTCCACTTCATTCCGTTCTGTTCCTTTCCATTCCGTTCCATTCCATTCAGTTCTGTTCAATTTGATTCCATTCCACTCCACTCCATTCCATTCCCTCCATTCCACTCCATTCCTCTCTGCTGCACTCCACTCCACTCCCCTCCATTCCATTCCATTCCATTCCGTTCCATTCCATTCCGTTCCTTTCCACGCTATTCAGATCCACTCCACTCAAAACCACTCCACTCCAATTGACTCTATTCCGTTACAATCTGTTCTGTTCCAGTCCATTCCATTCCATTCTATTCTGTTCCATTCCATTACGTTCATTTACTTTCCATTCTATGCTATTGCGTTCCACTGCACTTCGATCCATTCCACTCAATTCCACTCCACTCCACTCCACCCTGTTCTGTTCCGTTTCATTCCATTCCGATCCGTTACGCTCAACTCCGTTCCGTTCTAATCCATTCCACTCCACTGCATTCTATTCCACTTTACTCCACTGCACTCCAATCCAATCCACTCCACTCCTTTTCATTCCATTCCATTCCATTCCTTTCCATTGCACTCCATTCCATTCCATTCCTTTCAACCCCATTCCGTTACATTACTGTCCACTCCACTCCACTCCACTCCACCCCAATCCAATCCCTTCCACTCCACTACAGTCCACTCCACTCTATTCCACTCCACTCCAATCCACTCAATTCCACTTCATTCCATTCCACTCCACTCCATTCCATTCCATTCTAGTACATTCCATTCCATTGTTCTATGTCGACTGGATCTCACTCCGTCACCCAGACTGAAGTGCAGTGGCACAATCTAAGCTCACATTTCATTTCGCCCCTCCATTCCATTCCATTCCGTTCCACTGCTCTTGGATCCGCTCCGCTCCACTACCCTCCACTTAACTCCACTCCACTCTGTTCCAGACCATTCCATTCTGTTCCATTCCATTCCATTCCACTCCACTCCATTCCATTCCACTCCATTTCTGTCCATTCCACTCCAGTCCACTCCATTCCATTCCATTTCATTCCATGCCTCTGCACTCCGATCCACTCCACTCAACTCCACTGCACTCTTCACCTCTTTGTTCCATTCCATTCTGTTCTATTCCCTTCCTTACCATTCTATTCCATTCCATTTCATTCCACTCCACTCGATTCCACTCCACTCCATTTCACTCCATTCCACTCAATTCCACTCCACTCTACTCTACTCCACTACACCCAATTCCATTCTACTCCATTTCATTCCATTCCACTGCATTCCATTTGATTCCATTCCACTCCATTCCACTTCATTCCTTTCCACTCCACTCCACTCCATTCCACTCCATTCCATTGCCCACCACTCCATTACAATACATTCTATTCCATTCCATTCCATTCGTTTATTGCATCTGGAACTCACTTTGTCACAGAGACTGGAGTGCAGTGGCACAATCATAGCTGACATTTCATTTCACCTTTCCGTTTCATTCCATTCTATTCCATTCCATTGCATTCCATTCCCTTCCATTCCACTCCACTCCATTCCACCTCATTCCACTCTACTCCGATCCACTCCACTCCACTCCACCCCGTTCCATTCCATTCCGTTCCATTCCATTCCATTCCGTTCCATTCGATTGCATTCAACATCACTCCATTCCACTCCACTCCACTCAATTCAACTCCAGTCCACTCCACTTCATTCCTTTCCACTCCACTCCACCCCACTCCACTCCACTCCTTTCCATTGCACTCCATTCCACTCCATTCCACTCCAATCCACTCCTTTTCATTTCATTTCACTCCATTCTGTTCCACTCCATTCCTCTCCAGTCCACTTCATTCCACCCCTTTCCACTCCATTCCACCCCAATCCACTCCATTCCACTCCACTACACTCCATTTCATTCCACTACACTCCTTTTCATTCCTTTCCCTTCCACTCCTTTCCACTCCATTCCATTCCATCCCATTCTATTCCACTCAAGTCCACTCCATTCAACTCCACTCCACTCCATTCCACTCCATTCCATTCCATTTCATGCCATTCTACCCCATTCCATTAAATTCCATTCCACTCCATTCCCCTCCATTCCACTCTCTTCCACTCCATTCCATTCCATTCCACTCCACTCCTTTCCAATCCGTTCCAATACATTTCATTCCACTCCACTCCACTCCTCTCCATTCCACTATTCCACTCCAGTTCCTTTTACTCAACTCCATTCAACTCCTTTTGACTCCACTCCAGTCCACTTCTTTCCTTTCCATTCCACTACATTCCTCTGCAGTCCACTTTACTCCATTGCATTCCACTCCACTCCAATCCATTACACTCCACTCCTCTCCACTCCCCTCCATCCCATTCCACTCCTTTTCAGTCCAATCCACTCCACTACATTCCTATCCATGACACTCCATTTCACTCTACTCCACTCCTCTCCAGTCCACTACATTCCAATACACTCCAATCCATTCATCTCCACTCCATTACATTCAACTCTACTGCATTCCATTCCATTTCACTTCATTCCATTCCGTTCCTTTTGACTGCATTCCATTCCACTGCATTCCATTCCACTCTACTCCTTTACATTCCATGCCATTCCATTGTATTCCATTCAATTTCATTCCATTCCATTCCATTCCACTACATTCCCTTACACTTCATTCCATTCCATTCAACTCCATTCCATTCCACTCCACTCCACTGCACTCCGCGCCACTCCATTGCACTCCACTCCCCTCCACCCCAATCGACTCCCATTCAGTCCATTTCTTTCCACTCTTTTCCACTCCATTCCCCTGCATTCCACTCCAATCCAATCCACTCAACACCAATCCACTTCCCTCCATTATATTCCATTCCACTACTTTCCATTCCATTGCACTCCATTCCATTTTATTCCATTCCATTGCACTCCATTCCACTACCCTTCATTCCTCTCCACTCAATTCCAATCCATTTCACTCCATTGCATTCCGCTCCACTCCATTCCATTCCCTTCTACTCCCTTCATTCCATTATTTATTTCGACTATATCTCACTCTGTTACCCAGACGGGAGTGCAGTGGCACAATCTTAGCTCACATTTTATTTCATCATTTGATCCCATTCCATTTCATTCCATTCCACTCCATTCCATTCCATTCCAATCCACTCCACACTACTCCACTCAACAGCAATCCACTCCACTCCATTCCGTTCCACTCTATTCCATTCCATTGCATTGCATTCCATTCCTTTCCATTCCATTCTATTCCATTCCATTGCACTTCATTCCACTACCCTTCCTTCCACTCCATTCCAATCCAATCCATTCCACTCCTTTACACTCTATTTCATTCTGCTCCACTCCATTCCATTGCCTTCTATTCCATTCTTTATTTTGACTGGATCTCACTCTGTCACCCAGACTGGGGTGCAGTGGCATAATCTTAGCTCACATTTCATTTCATCATTCAATTCCATTCCATTTCATTCCGTTCCCCTCCATTCCCTTCCATTCCAGTCCACTCCACACCACTCCACTCCACTCTACTCCATTCCATTCCATTCCATTCCCATCCTTTCCATTCCATTCCTTTCCACTGCACTGCGATCCAATCCACTCAACTCCACTTCTCTGCAATCAACTCTAGTCTGTTCCGTTCCATTCCATTCCTTTCCATTCCATTCCATTCCACTCCACTCCATTCCACTCAACTCCACTGCACTCCACTCTACTCCATTCCCTTCCATTCCATTCCACTGTACTCTTATCCGCTCCACTCAACTCCACTCTACTGAACTCCACTCCATTCAATTCTGTTCCATTCCCTACCATTCCATTCCATTCCACTTCATTCCATTGCACTCCACTCCACTCCATTCCACACCATTCCACTCCATTCCACTCCACTCAATTCCACTCCACTACATTCCACTCCACTACACTCCATTGCATTCCATTCTATTCCATTCCACTACATTACATTCTATTCCACTCTATTCCATTATATTACATTCCTTTATTTCGAATGGATCTCACTCTGTCACCCATATTGGAGTGCACAATCTTAACTCATTATTCATTTCACCATTCCATCCATTGCATTGCATTCCATTCTATTCTGTTGCATTCCATTCCTTTCCATTCCATTCCATTTCATTCCTTTGCATTGCATTGCATTCCATTCCATTCCATTCTATTCCGTTGCATTCCATTCCATTCCTTTCCATACCATGCTAATCCATTCCATTCCATGTCATTCCAGTCCACTCCACTTCACTTCTCTCCATTCCATTCCATTCAATTCTCTTCCACTGAACACCGATCCAGTCCACTCCACTCCACTCCACTCCATGGCATTCTTTTCCGTTCCATTCCATTCCACACCACTCCATTCCATCCCACTCCATTTCCCTCCATTCAACTCCACTCCACTCCATTCCTCTTCTCTCCATTTCACTACACAAAATTTCACTCCATTCCTTTCCATTCCATTCCGTTCCACAGCACTCGGATCAACTCCATTCAACTCCACTCCACTCCACTCCACTACATTGAATTCCATTCCGTTCTTTTCAGTTCCATTCCACTAAATTCCATTACACTCCACTCCCTTCCACTCCTCTCCATTTCAATCCATTACATTTCATTATATTCCGTTCCACTCCACTCCACTCAACCCTCCACTCCAATCCATTCAATTCCACTCCACTCCACTCCAATCCATTCCATTCCAATCCATACCACTCCGTTAAACTCGACTCCATTCCACTCCACTCCATTCCACTTCGTTCCATTCCATTCCATTCTATTCCACTCCATTCTTCTCCTCTCCATGCCATTCCATTTTCCTCCATTCCACTCCATTCCTTCATTTTGACTGGATCCCAATCTGTCACCCAGACTGGAGTGCAGAGGTACAATCTTAGTTCACATTTCATTTCTTTCTATTCCATTCCATTCCTTTCCACTGCATTCCTTTCCCTTCCTCTCCATTCCATTCCATTCCACTCTACTCCACTCCACTCGACTACACTTCATTCCATTCAATTCCACTACCCTCCATTCCATTCCATTCCACTCCTTTCTACTACACTCCACCACACTACACTCCATTCCATCACATTACATTCCACAGCACTGGTATCCACTTCAATCAACTCCACTCCACTCCACTCAGTTGTGTTCCATTCCCTTCCCCTCCATTACATTCCATTCCACTCCACTCCATTTCACTCCATTCCACTCCATTCAACTCCACTCATCTCCACGCCATTCCACTATATTTCATACCATTCCCCTTCATTCATTTCAATTCCATTCCCCTCCCTGCCACTTCTTTCTACTCCGCTCCATTCCACTCAACTCCATTCCGCTCCATTCCATTCCTTTCCACTCCACTTCACTCTATTCCACTCCAATCCATTCCACTACACTACATTCCATTCCATTCCACTATAATCCGATCCACTTCACTCCACTCCACTCCTCTGCACTTCGTTCCATTCTTTTCTGTTCCCTTCTGTTTCATTCCGTTCCATTCCGCTCAATTCCATTCCACTTCACTCCATTCAATGCCACTCCATTTCAATAAATCCCACTCCATTTCAATAAATTCCACTTCATTCCTCTCCAATCCACTCCACTCCACTTCACTCCACTTCATTCCATTCCACTACACTCCATTCCATTCCGTTTTACTCCTTTCTATTCCATTCCTTTATTTCGACTGAGTCTCACTCTGTCACCCAGACTGGAGTGCAGTGGCACAATCTTAGCTAACATTTCATTTCACCATTCCATTCCATTCCATTCCATTCCATTCCATTCCATTCCATTGCATTCCATCCCACTCAACTCAACTCCACTGCATTCCATTCCACTCCCTTCCATTCCATTCCATTCCATTCCAGTACAGTCAAGTGTAATCGTATCCACTTCACTCAACTCCACTCCACTGCACTCCGTTCCGTTCCATTCCATACCATTCCTTTACATTCCATTCCATTCCACCCCACTCCATTCCATTCCACTTCATTAAAATGCATTACACTCCAATCCACTGCACTATACTCTACTTCATTCCACTCCATTCCATTCCATTGTACTGCACTCTGATCCACTCCACTCATCTCCACCCCACTGCACTCCCATCAACTCCATTCCAATTTGTTCCATTCCATTCCATTCTCTTTCATTCCATTGCATTCCCCTCCACTCCATTCCACTCCACTGTATTTCACTCGTTCCTCTCCTTTCAACACCACTCCACTCCAATCCACTCCACTCCATTCCACTCCATTCCATTCCAATCCACTCCATTCTATTCCTCTGCAGCCCACTCCATTCTATTGCACTCCATCCCATTCCACTCCAATCATTTCCACTCCACTTCATTCCAATTCACTCCATTCCACTCCACTCCATTCCAGTCCACTCCAATCCCTTCCAATCCACTCCACTCCATTCCAGTCCACTCCATTCCACTCCTTTCCACTACATTCCATTCCACTCCACTCCATTCCAGTCCATTCCATTCCACTCCACTCCATTCCATTCCATTCCATTCCATTCCATTCCATTCCATTCCATTCCAATCCATTCAATTCCATTCCTTTATTTCGACTGGACCTCACTCTGTAACACAGACTGTAGTGCAGAGGCCAAATCTTAGCTCAGATTTCATTTCAATATTCTATTCCACTTCATTTGATTCCATTCCATTCCATTTTATTCCACTCGACTCCACACCACTTCTATCGACACCATTTCATTCCACTCCATTCTATTCCATTTCACTCCATTCTATTCAACTCCATTCCACTACATTACACTTCACTCCATTTCACTCAACTGCATTCCACTACTCTCTACTCCATTCCAATTCATTCCATTCAATTTCACTCCATTCCTTTGCACTCCACTACATTCCACTCCACTCCATTTCACTCCACTCCACTCCATTGCCCTCCACTCCACTCCACTCAATTCCAATCTACTCCACTTCACTCACTCCATTCCATTCCACTCCATTCCATTCCATTTCACTCCATCCCATTCCACTCCACCCATTCCATTCCACTCTACTCCAGTAGACTTAACTCTAATCCACTCCACTTCACTGCACTCCGTTCCATCCCAGTCCATTCCATAACATTCCATTCCGTTCCATTCCTTTCCATTCCACTGCACTTTGATCCACTCCACTCAACTCCACTCCACTCCAATCCACTCTGTTCTGTCGCATTCCATTCCATTCTTTTAGATTCCATTCCATTCTGTCGCATTCCTTTCCATTCTGTTAGATTCCATTCCATTCTGTTCAATTCCATTCCATTCCACTTCACTCCATTCCATTCCAAGCCATTCCACTCCATTCCGCTCTACTCCCCTCCAATCCATTCCACTCCACTCCACTCCATTCCATTCCATTCCCAACCATTCCACTGAACTCTGATCCACTCCACTCAAATCCACTGCATTCTACTCCACTCCATTTTGTAACATTCCGTTCTGTTTCAGTCTGTTCTATTCCATTCTGTCCAATTCCATTCCATTCTGTTCCATTCCATTACATTCCATTGCATTCCACTGCAGTGTGATCCTCTCCACTGAATTCCACTCCACTCCAATCCACTCCACCCTGTTCCGTTCCATTCCATTCCATTCCAATCCATTCCCTTCCATTCTGTTCCATTCCAATCTATTCTAATCCACTGAATTCCATTCCACTCCACTCCACTGCACTCCACTCCAATCCACTGCACTTCATTCCATTCCATTCTTTTCCATTTCATTCCATTCAATTTCACTTCATTCCATTGCATTCCATTCCACTCCATTCCATTCCATTACCCTCCACTGCACTCCACTCCATCCAACTCCACTCCATTCCACCGAACTCCATTCCACTCCACTCAATTCCACTCCACTCCACTCCATTCCATTCATCTCTGCTCAATTGCGTTCCATTCTACTACATTGCCTTCCCTTCCTTTATTTCGACTGGATCTCACTCTCTCACCCAGACTGAAGTGCGTGGCATAATTTTAGCTCACATTTCATTTCGTCCTTCTATTCCATTCCATTACATTCCATTTCACTCCATTCCATTCCACTGCATGCAACTCAATACCACTCCATTCGGCTCCACTCCATATCACTCGACTGTATTCTACTCCACTCCACTCCATTCCACACACTTGCTTTACAATCCAATCCATGCCATTCCCTTCTACTCAATTCCATTTCATTCCTCTATTTTGACCAGGTCTAACTCTGTCATTCAGACTGGGATTCAGTGGCACAACCTAAGCTCACGTTTTCTTTCACAATTCCATTCCATTCCATTCCATTCCATTCCATTCCATTCCATTCCATTCCACTCCACTGCACTCCAATCAATTCCATTCCACTCCACTCCATTCCATTCCAATCCATTCCATTCCACTGCACTCTGATACACTCCATTCAAATCCACTCCACTCCATTCCACTCCGTGCTGTTCTGCTCCATTCCATTCCATTACATTCCACTCAATTCCAGTCCACTCCACTCCACTCTACTCAAGTCCACTCTACTCCACTCCACAGCACTCCTCTCCACTCCACTCCATTCCAGTCCATTCCACTCCACTCAACTCCATTCCATTCCACTCTATTACATTCCATTCCACTGCACTCCGATCCACTCCACTCAACTCTAATCCACTCCACTTTACTCCACTCCGTTTTTTTCCATTCCATTCTGTTCCAATCCATTCCATTCCATTCCATTCCATTCCACTCCATTCCATTTAATTCCACTGTACTCCAATCCACTCCACTCCACTCCATTCTATACCATTCCATTCCACTTTACCCCGGTCAACTCCAGTCAACTCCACTCCACCCCACTCCATTCCTTTCCAGTCCGTTCCATTCCTTTCCACTCTACTCCATTTCACTCCACTCCATTCCACTCAACACCATTCCACTCCACTCCATTCCATTCCATTTCATTCTACTCCATTCCATTCCTTTCCATTACTTCCACTGGATCGCACTCTGTCACCCATACTGCAGTACAGTGGAACAATCTTAGCTCACCTTTCATTTCACCATTCCATTCCATTCCATTCTATTCCTAACCAATCCACACCACACAACTCCACTGAATTCCACTCCAGTCCGTTCTTTTCCGTTCTATTCCATTCCGTTCCATGACATTCCATTCCGATTCATTCCATTTCATTGCAGTCCACTCCATTCCACTGCACTCCACTCCATTTCATTCCACTCCATTCCATTCCACTACAGTCCTTTCCACCCCATTCCATTCCATTCCATTCCATTCCAGTCCATTCCATTCCATTCCAATCCATTCCATTCCATTCCATTCCACTCCATTATACTCCATTCCTCTGCACTTCATTCCAATCCATTCTACTCTATTCCATTCCATTCCTCTGTTTCGACTGGACCACACTTTGTCACCGAGATTGGAGTGCAGTGGCACAATCTTAGCTCACATTTTATTTCATCATTGCATTCCACTCCTTTCCATTTCATTCCATTCCATTCCATTCCATTCCACTCCACTCCACTCCATTCCATTCCACTCCATTCGATTCTATTCTATTCCATTCCAGTGCATTCCACTCCATTGCACTCCACTCCAATTTTCTCCACTCCATTCCACTCCACTCCACTCCATTCAACTTCATTCCATTCCACTCCACTGCATTCCAAACTTTTCTACTCCATTCCACTCACTTGCTTTATTTCCACTGGATCCCACACTGTCTCCCAGAGTGGAGTGCCGTGGCACAATCTTACCTCTCATTTCTCTTCACCATTCCATTCTATTCCATAGCATTCCACTCCACTCCATGCCAGTCCAAGCCACTCCCATCCACTCCACTGAAGTCCACTCGTCTCCATTCCACTCCACTCCACTGTATTCCACTCCATTTCATCCCACTCCCCTCCCTTCCACTCCACTCCATTCCACTCCACTCCACTTCATTCCACTCCATTCCATTCCACTCCACTCTTTTCCATTCCATTGTACCCCATTCCATTCTATTCCTTTATTTCAACTGGATCTCAGTGTGTCACCCAGAGTGGAGTGCAGTGGCACAATCTTAGCAGCATTTCATTTTGTCTTTCCATTCCATTCCATTGTTTTCCTTTCCATTCCACAGCATTCCAAAACAATCCACTGAAGTCCACTCCACTTCTCTCCTCTCCACTCCATTCCATTCCATTTCGTTCCATTCCATTCCACTCCACTCAACTACTTTCCACTCCATTCCATTCCATACCACTCCATTCCTCTCCATTCCTATCCACTCCACTCTGCTCCAGTCCTCTCTATTCTACTCCAATCCTCTCCTCTCCACTCCCTTCCACCCCACTCAACTCCATCGCATTCTGTTCCGTTCAATTCCGTTCCATTCCATTACACTCCATTGCATTCCACTCCATTCCACTCCACTCTACTCCACTCCTCTCCCTTCCATTGCATTCCATTCGAGTCCATTCCAATCCATTCGACCACATTCCATTCCACTCCACTCCATTTCACTCCACTCCACTCCATCCCATTCCATTCCACGCCATTCCATTCCATTCCAGTCCATTCCATTCCACTCCATTCCACTCCAATCCACTACAATATACTCCAATCCACTTCATTGCAGTCCACTCCACTCCACTCTACTTCACTTCACCCCAGTCCTCTCCATTCCATTACACTCCACTCCATTCCATTCCATTCCATTCCACTCCATTCCAGTCCATTCCATTCCACCACAGTATGCTCTATTCCATTCCATTCCATTCCATTCCACACCAATCCACACCACTCTAATCCATTCCATTCCATTCAATTTCACTCCACTCCACTACACTCCATTCCTCTCCAATCCATTCCAATCCACTGAACTCCACTCTACTCCACTCCACTTTACTCCACTCCACTCCTCTTCACTCCTTTCCATTCCACTCCACTTCACTCCACTCCACTCCATTCCACTCCATTTTATTCCACTGCATTCCACTCCACTCCATGTCATTCCATTCCACGCCACTCCATTTCACTCCACTCCATTCCTTTCCTTTCCATCCCATGCTATTCTGCTACACTCCATTTCACTCCATTTCATTCCACTCCATTCCTCTTTATTTCATTCCATTCCACTCCAGTGCACTGCATTCCACTCCACTGCACTTCTTACATTCAATTACATTCCATTCCACTCAATTCCTTTCCACTCCACTCCAATCCACTCCAATCCACTCCATTCCACTCCCCTCCACTTCACTCCACGCCACTCCACTCCAGTCCACTCCACTCCACTCCATTCCACTCCATTCCACTCCACTCCATTCCATTCCATTCCACTCCACTCAACACCCCTCCACTCCTTTCCACTCCACTGCACTCTACTCCTTTCCACTGAACTCTACTACGCTCCACTCCACTCCATTTCTTTCCATCTGATTCAATTCCACTTTTTTCCACTCCACTCCAGTACATTCCATTCCATTCCATTCCATTCCATTGCATTCCAATATTTTCTTTCGACAGGATCTCACTCTGTCACCCATGGTGGAGAGCAGTGGCACAATCTCAGCTCACATTTCATTTCCCCTTCCATTCCATTACGTTCCATTCCGTTTCATTCCATTCCATTGCATTTTCCTTCATTCTATTCCATTCCACTCCACTCCACTCCACTCCATCCACTCCATTTCATTTTATTACACTCCACTCAATTCCATTCCACTCCACTGCACTCCATTCTATTCCACTCCACACCACTCCATTGTATTCCACTCAACTCCACTCCATTACAATCCACTGCACTCCATTCCATTCCACTCCACTCCCCTCCATTCCAATCCACTCCACTCCACTCCCTTCCATTCCATTCTATTTCACTCCATGCCACTCCATTCCATTCCACTCTACTCCACTCCACTCCACTCCAATGCATTCCTCTCCACTCCACTTCATTCTACTCAACTCCTCTCCTCTCCACTCTACTCAACTCTGCTCCACTCCTCTCCATTCCATTCAACTCCATTCCATTCCACTCCACTCCACTACATTGCATTCCATTCGACTCCACTGCACTCTACTCCACTCCACTTCATTCCATTGCATTCCACTCCACTCCATTCCATTCTATTCCATTCCATTGCATGCCATTCCATTCCATTCCATTTCTTTCTTTCAACAGGATCTCACTATTTCACCCTGGCTGGAGTGCTGTGTACAATCTCAGCTAACATTTCTTTTCACCATTCCATTTCATTCCGTTAAATTGCATTTAATTCCACTCAACTCCACTCCACTCAAATCCACTGCATTCCACTCCACTCCATTCCATTCGGTACCACTACTCTCCAATCCATTCCACTCCACTCCACTCTATTCCACTCCTCTTCACTCCATTCCACTCCACTCCACTCCATTCCTCTGCACACCGTTCCATTCCATTAAGTTCCATTCCATTCCACTCCACTCCATTCCACTCCACTCCATGGCATTTCACTCCACTCCACTCTATTCCATTGCATTCCACTCCAATCCTTTCCATTCTACTGCATTCCACTACATTCCTTTCCTTTCCTCTGCACTACACTGCATTCCACTCCACTCCACTTCATTCCACTCCAATTCACTCCAATCCACTGTATTCCAGTCCACTCCATGATACTCCATTCCACTCCACTCCACTTCACTCCATTCCACTCCACTCTATTCCAATGCACTCCACTCCCGTCCACTCATTTCCACCCAACACCACTCCACTCCATTCCATTCCCCTCTACTCCACTCCATTCCACACCATTTCATTCTGTCCCATTCAATTCTATTCCTTTCACTCCACTCCACTCCATGCCATTCAAATTCATTCCATTCCAATATTTTCTTTAGACAGTATCTCACTCGGTCACCCATGCTGTAGTGCAGTGGCACAATCTCAGTTCACATTTCATTTCCCCTTCAATTCAATTCTATTGCATTTCATTCCATTCCATTCCTTTTTGCTCCACTCAATTCCATTCCACTCTACTCTACTCCACTCCTCTCCCATCCACTCCGTTCCATTTCATTCTACTCCATTCCATTCCATTACTTTCTTTTGACTGGATCTCCCTTTGTCGCCCAGACTGAAGAGCAGCGGCACAATCTTGGCTGACATTACATTTCTCCACTCCGTTCCATTCCATTCCACTATATTCTATTCCACTGTACCCTATTCCATTCCATTCCAATCCACTCCACTCCACTCCATTCCATTCCATCTCCTTGTATTCCGTTTCACTGCACCGCACTCCAACCTAAGCACTTAACTCCACTCCACTCCACTCCTCTCCAATCCATTCCATTCCATTCCACTCCACTTCATTCCATTCCAGTCCACCGATTCCACTCCACTCCACTCCACTCCAATCCATTCCATTCCCCTCCACTCCATTGCATTCCACTCCACTGCACTAAATTCCATTTCACTTTTCTCCAATCCATTCCATTCCATTCCACTCCACTACATTCCACTCGAATCCACTCCACTCCTCTTCACTCTGCTCCACTCCATTCCATTTCACTCCATTCCATTCCACTACATTCCACTTCATTCTATTCCACTCCACTCCACTCCATTCCATTCCACTCCACTCCATTCCATTCCACTCCTTTCTACTCCATTCCACTCCACTCATTCCATTCCAATCCAATCCACTCCACTCCAATCCACTCCACCCCACTCCATTACACTCCATTCCACTTCATTTCATTCCACTCCATTCCATTCTATTCCACTTCCATTCCATTGTATTCCATTCCACTACACTCCATTTCACTCCATTTCACTCCACTCCATTCCTCTCCATTCCATTCCATTCCACTCCACTCCCCTCCATTCCGTTCCTCTCCACTCCACTCCATTCTGTTCCATTCCATTCCCTTCGATTAAATTCCATTCCATTCCTTTCAACTCCACTGCATTCCATTCCACTCCACTTTTCTCCATTCCATTCCAATCCACTCTACTCCACTGCACTCCACTCCACTCCATTCCATTCCACTTCATTCCACTGCACTCCACTCCTGTCCACTCCATACCATTCCATTCCATTCCACTCACCTGCACTTCAGTCAACTACACTCCACTACAGTCCATTGCATTCCACTCCACTCCACTCAACTCCATCACATTGCACTGTGTTCCATTCCATTCTACACGTTTCCACTCCACTCTATACACTCCATTCCATTTCATCCCATTCCACTCCACTCCACTCCATTCCACTCCATTCCACTACACTCCACTCTACTACACTCCATTTCATTCCATTCCATTCCACTCCATTCTACACCACTCCACTCCACTCCTCTGCACTCCTTTCCATTCAACTACACTCCACTTCATTGTTCTCCTCTCCACTTCAATCCACTCCATTCCATTCCATTCCACTGCACTCTATTCCACTCCACTACTCTCCCATCCATTCCATTCCACTCATTTCCTTTCCATTCCACTCCTTTCCCGTCCACTTCACTGCACTGCCCTCCGTTCCACTTCACTCTGCTCCACTGCACTCCACTCCATTCCATTGCACTCTATTCAATTTCACTTCATTCCACTCCAGTTCACTCCATTCTATTACATTCCATTCCACTCCGCTGCATTCCAGTCCACTCCACTCCACTTCATTCCACTCCATTCCATTCCAGTCCACCCACTCTACTCCATTCTATTCAATTCCATTTCATTCCGCTCCACTCTACTCACTTGCATTCCACTGCTCTCCACTCCACTCCTTTGCACTCCACTTCACTCTTCTCCATTCCTCTCCACTCCACTTCACTCCCTACCATTTCTCTCCACTCCATTTCATTCCACTCCACTGCACTCACTTGCATTCCACTCCACTTCACTCCAATCCATTCCATTCTACTCCACTACATTTCACACCACTCCACTCCTTTCTACTCAAATCCAATCCATTCCACTCCATTCCATTCCACTCCACTACAGTCTATTCCAATCCACTGCACTCCACTCCATTAAACACTTTTCCATTCCATTCCATTCCATTTCATTCCATTCCACTATATTCCATTCAATTCCATTGCATTCCAATCCATTTCATTCCATTCCATTCCATTCACTTCCATTCACTTCCTCTCCACTCCATCCCACTCCATTTCACTCCATTCCATTCCACCCCACTCCACACAACTTCACTCTACTCCGCTGAATTCCATACCAGTCCATTCCTCTCTACTCCACTCCACTCCATTCCTTTCCATTCCATTCCGTTCCACTCCATTACACTCCACCCCACTCCACTGCAGTCCTCTCCATTCCACTCCATTCCATTCCATTCCACAGCAGTCCATCCATTCCACTCCACTCCACTCCATTCCATTCCACACTACTCCATTACACACCACTCCACTCCATTCCACACCACTCCAGTCCATTCCAGTCTGCTCCATTATACGCCATTGCGCTGCATTCCACTCCACTCCACTCCAGTCCACTCCACTCCACTCCAGTCCACTCCTCTTCATTCGATTCCATTCCATTCCCTTCCATTCCTCTACACTCCACTCCACTCAACTCCACTCCAATCCACTCCATTCCATTCCACTTCACCACTCCACTCCTCTCCATTCCAGTTGTCTCCACTCCACTCCTCTCCATTCCTCTCCCTTCCACTCCACTCCACTCGACTCCACTCCTCTTCACTACACTCCATTCCACTCCACTCCACTCCATGCATTCCACTCCATTCCATTCCATTCCCGTGCACTCCATTCCATTTCATTCCACTCCACTCGATTCCATTCCATTCCCTTTCACTCCATTCCATTTCATTCCACTTCACTTGATTCCGTTCCACTCCCTTCCATTCCACTCCCTTCCATTCCACTCCAATCCATTCCATTCCATCCCATGGTATTCCACTCCATTTCACTCCCCTCCACTACACCCCAATCCACTCAACTCTACTCCATTGCATAAGAATCCATTCCACTCTATTCCACACCATTCCATTCCATTCCATTCCACTCCATTCCTCCCCATTCGACTCCATTCCACTCCCCTCCACTCCATCCCATTCCACTCCATTCTACTCCACTCCATTCCACTCCACTGCACTCCACTCCACTCCACTCAACTCCAGTCCACTCCAATCCACTCCACTCCATTCCGTTTTATTCCATTTCATTCCATTCCATTCCAATCCATTCCGTTCCATTCCATTCCATTCCTTCCCATTCCACTCCACTCCATTCCAATCCACCGCATTACACTCCAATCCACTCCACTCCACTCGATTCCACTACATTCCATTCCATTCCAACCCATTCCATTCCACTCCACTCCATTCCACTCTATTCCATTCCATTGCTTTCCATTCCATTCCACTCCACTCCACTTCACTCCACTCTCTTCCACTCCATTTCTTTCCACTCCATTCCATTCCATTCCTTTCTTTACACAGGATCTCTCTGCGTCAAAAAGTCGGAAGTGCAGAGGCACAATATCAGCTCACATTTATTTTCACCATTCCATTGCATTACATTCCATCCCACTGCTTTCCACTTTTTTTCACTCCACTCCACTCCATTCCATTCCACTCCATTCCATTCCATTCGACTCCATTGCACTCCACTCCACTCTTTTCCACTGCACCTCACGCCACTCCATTTCATTTCATACCATTGCATTCCAATCCTTTCTTTTGACAGAATATCACTGTGTTACCAAGTTTGGAGTGCAGTGGCACAATCTCAGCTCACATTACCTGCCAACTTTCATTGCATTGCATTCTATTCCATTTCATTGAATTGCATTGCAAGTCATTACATTCCATTGAACGGAATTGCCTTGCATTGCATACCATTTCATTCCACTGCACTCCATTTCATTCCATTCCACTCCACTCCACTCCACTACATTCCATTCCCTTTAATTACAATCCACTCCACTCCACTCCATTCCACTCCAATGCACTCCACTGCACTCCCCTCCATTCTGTTCAATTCCTTTCCATTTCTTTCCATTCCACTGAGTTCCACTCCATTCCATTCCATCCCTTTTCAATCCACTGCACTCCACTCAGTTCCACTCCATTACACTCCATTCCATGCCATTGATCTCCACTCCACTCCACTCCTTCCCACTCCAACTTACTCCACTCCAGATCATTCCATTCAATTCCCTTCCACTCCAATCCACTACACTCCATTCCATTCAATTCCACTCCATTCCAGTTCATTCCACCAAATTACACTCCATTCCACTTCATTTCACTTCAATCCACTCCACTCCATTCCGTTCCCCTCCATTCCATGCCATTGCTCTCCACTGAACTCCACTCCACTCCACTCCTTTCCACTCCAACCCACTCCAGTCCAGTCAATTCCACTCAATTCCATTCCACTCCACTCCATTCTACTTCATTCCATTCCAATCCTTTTCCCTCCACTCCATTTCATTCCACTCCACTCCATTCCATTCCACTCCTCTCCATTCCATTCCTGTGCACTCCACTCCACTCCACTCCATTCCATTCCATTCCACTCCACTCCACACCACTCCATTCCATTCGATTACATTCCTTTCCACTCCACTCCACTGCACTCCATCCTAGTCCACTCTACTCCATTCAATTCCATTCCATTCCATTCCACTGCACTCCACTCAACACCACTCAATTCCTCTACATTCCACTCCTCCATTCCATTCCATTCCCTTCCATTCAATTCCCCTCCACTCCACTCCAATGCACACCACTCCATACGACTCCACTCCATTCCAATCCAGTCCATTCCATTCTATTCCACTCCATTCCATTCCACTCCACCCAATTCCATTCCAGTCCACTCCACCCCCTCAACTACACTCCATTCCATTCCATTCCACTACACACCCCTCCACTCCATTCCATTAATTCCATTTCCCTCCACTACTCTCCAGTCCATTGCTTTCCATTCCATTCCACTCCATTCCACTCCACTCCCCTCCAATCCATTCCACTCCATTCTTTTCCACTCCACTGCACTCCACACTAGTCAACTCCACTCCACTCAATTCCATTCCATTGCATTCCACTGCAGTCTACTCAATTCCTCTCCACTGCACTCCTCCAATCCATTCCATTCCTTTCCATTGCATTCCACTCCACTGCACTCCGATGCACAGCATGCCATTCGACTCCGCTTCACTCCAATGCAGTCCATTCCGTTCCATTCCATTCCACTCCATTCTATTCCACTCCACCCAATTCCATTCCATTCCACTCCACTCCACTCCACTCAACTCCACTCCATTCTATTCCTTTCCAGTCCACTCCACACCACTCCATTCCATTCCTTCCATTCCACTACACTCCCCTCCACTACATTCCATTCCACTCCATTCCCCTCTACTCCACTACACTCCATTGCATTCCATTTCATTCCACTCCAATCCACTCCACTCCCCTCCACTCCTCTCCATTATTTTCAACTCCACTCCATTTCATTCCACTCAATGCTATTCCGTTTCACTCTGCTCTATTCCATTTCATTCCATTCCATTCTATTCCATTCCATTCCATTCCATTCTTCTCCATTCCATTCCACTCCATTCCATTCCACTCCACTCCATTTCATTCCACTCCACTCCACTCCCCTCCTATCCATTATACAATACTCCACGCCACTGTAAACCATTTCACTCCATTCCATTCGACTGCACTCATTCCATTCCACTTCACTCCATTCCACTCCGTTCCACTCCACTCCAGTCCATTCCATTCCATTCCATTCCACTCCGTTCCACTCCTCTGCATTCCACTCCTCTCCATTCCTCTCCACTCCATTCCACTGAACTCCACTTCCTTCCACTCCAGTACACTCCAATCTACTTCAGTCCACTCTACTCCATTCCAGTCCTCTCCACTCCACTCCATTCCATTCCTATCCATTACACTGCACTGTGGTCCACTCCAATCTACTCCAATCCATTCCGTTCCGTTTTCTTCTGATCTGTTCCATTCTGCTCTGTTCCACTTAACTCCACTCCACTCCACTGCATTCCATTACATCCGATTACATTCCACTCCATTAAACTCATCTCCACTCTACTACTCTCCACTCCACTCCATTCCACTCTATCGCATTCATTTCTGTTCCATTCCACTGCACTCCATTCCACCCCACATCCCTCTTCTTCATTCCATTCCATTCCAGTCCACACCATTCCATTCCTTTCCATTCCATTCCATTCCATTCCACTCCACACCTCTCCACTAAACTCCACTCCATTCTATTCCATTCCATTCCATTCCATTACAATCCACTCCACTCCACTAATTCCCACTCCAATCCACTCCACTCCATTCCATTCTGTTTCATTAAATTCCAGTCCATCCCATTCCAATCTACTCCATTCCATTCCATTCCACTCCAATCGACTCCACTACACTCCATTCCACTACATTCCAATACATTGCATGCCATTCCAGTCAACTCCAATCCAACCCAGTCCACTCCAGTCCACTCCACGATATTCCATTCCACCCCACTGCACTCCACTCCATTCCAATTCACTCCATTGCTATCCTTTCAATTCCACTCCATTCCATTCCACTCCCCTCCATAATATTCCACTCTGCTCCATTCCATTCCAGTGCACTCCACTTCATTCCATTCCACTCCACTCCACACCACTCCATTCCATTCCACTCCTTTCGTTTCCACTCACCTGCACTCCACTCCACACTAGTCAAATCCACTCCACTTCTCCATTCCATTGCAATCCTTTCCATTCCATTCCACTCCACTCTACTCCAATGAAATGGAATAGAGGGGAATCGAATGGAATGGAGTGGAATGGAATTCCACTGAATGGAATGGAAAGTCAGCTTTCCATAGCTTTTCAGTCTATTCCATTTCCTTCCATTCCATTCCACTGCATTCCATTCCATGCCATTCCATTCCATTCTATTCCATTCCATTGCACTACACTCCACAACACTTCAATCCACTCCACTCCACTCCATTCCACTCCACTCCAGTCCACTCCACAATGCTCCACTCCACTCCACTCCATTCCACTCTACACCACTCCACTCCATTCTATTCCACTCCACTCCACGCCACGCCAGTCCACTCCACTCCATTCCACTCTACTCCTATCCCTTTCATTCTATTCCACTCGACTCCACTCCACTCCACTCGAATCCATTCCACTCCACTCCACTCCATTCCTTTCCATTCTATTCCACTCCAATCCACTCCATTCCACTCCTTTCCATTTCATTCTATTCAATTCCATTCCATTCAACTCCACTCCAATCCAGTACATTCCACTGCACTCCAATTTACTCCATTCCATTCCATTCCACTGCATTCCACTCCATTTCACTCCACTCCATTCCACTCTACTGCAATCCATTCCATTCCATTCCAATCCAATCTATTCCATTGCACTCCACTCCATTCCACTCCTCTCCACTCCACTCAACTCCATTCCATTCCACTCAACTCCATTCCACTCCACTCCATTCCGTTCCACTACACTCCATTTCATTCCACTGCAATCCATTCCATTCCATTCCACTCCATTCCCCTCCATCCCATTCCTTTCAATTCCATTCCTTTCCACTGCACTCCACTCCACTAAACTCCATTCCATTGCTTTCCGTTCTATTCCAGTCCATTCCAATCTATTCCACTCCATTCCATTCCACTCCACTCCTTTCCATTTCATTTCATTCCATTCCATTGCAATCCCTTACATTCCACTCCATGCTTTCAAAAGGATCTCCTTCTGTCACACAGGCTGTAGCACAATAGCACAATCTCAGCACACATTTCTTTTCACCATTCCATTCCATTCCATTCCATTCCATTCCATTCCATTCCACTCCACTCCTTTCCACTACACTCCACTAGACTCCACTCCTTTCCATTCCAATCTACTCCACTCCACTCCACTCAATTTCATTCCATCACATTGCATTCCACTCCTTTCTACTCCACTGCACACCAGTCCTTTCCATGGCACTGCAATCCATTCCAATATTTTCTTTTGACAGGATTACTCTATCACCCAAGCTGGAGTGCAGTGGCACAATCTCAAGTCACATTTCATTTCACCATTCTATTCCATTCAATTCCTCTACATTCCTTTCCATTCCACTCCTCTCCATGACTCTTCACTCCATTCCATTCTAATCCATTCCATTCCATTCTTTTATTTCGAATGTATCATACTCTGTCACCCAGACTGGAGTGCAGTAGCACAATCTTAACTCAACTTTCATTTCACCATTCCATTCCATTCCATTTCATTCCGTTCCATTCCATTCCATTCCATTCCATTCCAGTCCAGTCCACTTCACTCCACTCTACTCCATTCCACTCCACACCACTCTAATCCACTCCATTCCATTCCACTACACTCCATTCCATTCCATTCCATTCCACTCCACTGCAGTCCACACCACTCCACTACATTCCACTCCATTGCACTCCACTCCACTCCCTTCTATTTCACTCCATTCCACTCCATTCCATTCCAATTCAGTCCATTCCATTCCGTTCCACTCAATTCCACTCCATTCAATTCCATTCCATTCCACTCAACTCCACTCCATTAATTCCACTCCTCTCAATTCCATTCCATTCCCCTCCACTCCATTCCATTTCATTCTGTTCCATTCCATTCCAATCCTTTTGTCTCCAGCCCATTCCATTCCACTCTATTCCAATCGAATTCACTCCTTTCCATTCCACCCCATTTGACTCCACTCCACTGTATTCCACTCCGCTCCACTCCACTGCATTCCACTCCACTCCATTCCACTCCACTCCATTCCACTCTACTCCACTCCACTCAACTCCATTCCATTCCCTTCAATTCCATTGCACTCCACTCAATTCCATTCCAGTACACTCCATTTCATTCCACTCCTATCCATTCCATTCCATTCCACTCCATTCCATTCCATTCCACTCAACTGCACTCCATTCCACTCCATTCCATTTCATTCCATTCTATTCCACTCCCTTCCACTCTACTCCACTACACTCCATTCCACTCCCCTTCATTCCATTTCATTCCATTCCATTGCAATCGCTTACATTCCACTCCTTTCTTTCCAAAGGATCTCCCTCTATCACACAGGCTGTAGCACAGTGGTACAATCTCAGCACACATTTCTTTTCACCATTCCATTCCATTCCATTCCACTCCTCTCCACTCCTTTCCACTACACTCGACTAGACTCCACTCCATTCCATTCCAATCTGCTCCACTCCACTCAATTTCAATCCACCCCATTCCATTCCACTCCTTTCAACTCCACTCCACACCATTCCATTCCATGCCAGAGCAATCCATTGCAATATTTTCTTTCGACAGGATTACGCTGTCACCCAAGCTGGAGTGCAGTGGCACAATCTCAAGTCACATTTCATTTCACCATTTTATTGCATTCAATTCCCCTACATTCCATTCCATTCCACTCCACTCCATGATTCTTGACTCCACTCCATTCTACTCCATTCCATTCCATTCTTTTATTTCGAATGTATCACATTTTGTCACCCAGACAGGGGTTCAGTAGCACAATCTTAACTCAACTTCCATTTCACCATTCCATTCCATTCCATTTTATTCCACTCCATTCCATTCCATTCCACTCCACTCCACTCCAGTCCACTCCACTATATTCCACCCCATTCCACTCCACTCAACTCCCTTCTATTTCTCTCCATTCAACTCCATACCATTGCAATTCACTCCATTCCATTCCGTTCCACTCCATTCAATTCTATTTCATTCCACTCAATTCCAGTCCATTAGTTCCACTCCACTCTATTCCATTCCATTCCACTCTTCTCCATTCCATTCCTTTCCATTCCAGTGCTTTTGACTCCAACCCATTCAATTCCACTCTATTCCAATAGAATCCTCTCCTTTCCATTCCACCCCATTTCACTCCATTTGACTCCATCTCCACTGCATTCCACTCCACTCCACTCCATTCCACTTCACTGCATTCCATTCCATTGCATTCCAATTCATTCCATTCGACTCCACTACACTCCATTCCACTGAAATCCATTCCACTCCACTCCATTCCACTCCAATCCCTTCCCATCCACTCCATTCCACTCCATTCCTTTCCATTCTATTCCACTCCAATCCACTCCATTCCACTACATTCCATTCCATTCCATTCCATTCCATTGAACTCCACTCCAGTCGAGTCCCTTCCACTCCTCTCTTCTCCTTTCCATTCCATTCCATTCCATTCCACTCCTTTCCACTACATTTGACTCCACCCCATTCCACTCCACTGCAATGTATTCCATTCCATTCCTTTCTAATCCAATCTATTACATTCCACTCCACTCCACTCAATTCCATTCCATTCCACTCCATTCCATTCCAATCCACTCCATTCCATTACACTCCATTTCTTTCCACTCCATTCCATTCCATTACATTCCACTCCATTCCACTGCATTCGATTCCACTCCACTGCACTCCACTCCACACCACTCCAATCCATGGCATTCCATTCCATTCCACTCCCCTCCATTCCACTCCGATCCACTTCATTCAACTCCACTCCATTCCACTCAACTCCACTCCATTCTATTCCATTCTACTCCTCTCCATTTCATTGCACTCCACTCCATTCCTTTCCATTCCATTCCACTGTAGTCCTCTCTACTCCTTTCTCTTCCCTTCCATGCAACTCCAATACACTCCATTCCAGTCCACCCTACTCCACTCCATTCCACTCCTCTCCACTCCACTCCACTATGCTTTAATCCACTAAACTACACTGAACTACATTCCATTCCACTCCACTCCACTTCACTCAACTCCACTACTCTACACTCCATTCCATTTCATTCCACTTCATTGCACTCGAATCCACTCCATTCCATTCAATTCCATTCCACTCCATTCCTGTCCACACCACTCCCCTCCACTCCAGTGGATTCCAATCCATTCCATTCCATTCCTTTCTTTCCACAGGATGTCTCTCTGTCACAAACGCTGGAGTGCAGTGGCATCATCTCCGCTCACATTTCTTTTCACCATTCCATTGCATTCCCTTCCATCCCATTCCATTCAACTCTATTACACTCCACTCCAATCCATTCCATTCCAATCCACTCCATCCCATTCCTTTTGACTCAATTCTACTCCACTCCACAACACTCTTCTCCACACCACTGCACACCACTCCATTCCATTCCATTCCTTTCAATTACACTCCACTCCACAACACTCCTTTCCATTCCAATCCATTCCTTTCCACTCCATTCCATTCCACTCCATTCCACTGCACTCCATTCCACTCCACTGCATACCACTCCACTCCACACTACCCCACTCCTCTCCATTACACTCCACTAGGCTCCACTCCACTCCAGTCCATTCCACTCCACTCCACTCCACTACAGTCCACTGCATTTTACTACACTATACTACACTCCAATCCATTCCATTACAGTCCACTCCATTCCTTTCCACTCCTCTCCATTCCAATCCACTCCATGCCATTCCACTCCACTCTACTCCATTCCGTTCCACTCCACTCCATTCCACTCCACTTCACTCCATGCCTATTTACTCCTTTCCTCTCCAATCCATTCCATTCTATTTCCCTTCACTCCACTCCACTCCATTCCACTCCAATTCACTCCACTAAACTCCATTCCAGTCCACTACACTCCATTCCAGTGCACACCACTCCACTCCAGTCCATTCTATTCCACTCCTCTCCATTCCTTTCCATGCAACTCCATTCTACACCACTGCACTCCAATCCAATCCATTCCAGTCCACTCCACTACACTCCATTAATTCTACTCCAGTCCACTCCACTCCATTCGATTCCATTCCACTCCTCTCCACTCCCTTCCGTTCCATTCTACTCCACCCCATTCCATTCCGTTACACACCATTCCACTCCACTCTATTCCACTCCACTCGACTCCACTTCACTCCACTCCATTCCATTCCATTCCATTCCTTTCCACTCTACTCCATTCCACACCACTCCACTCCATTACACTCCACTGCACTGTATTTCATTGCACTCCACTCCATTCCAATCCCCTCCATTCCATTCTGTTCCAATCGACTCCATTACACTGCACTCCACTCTATTCCACTCCACTCCACTCCAATCAACTCTATTCCATTTCATTTCTCTCCATTGCATTCCATTCCATTCCATTCCATTCCATTCCATTCCACTTCATTCCACTCCATTCCATTCCACTCCACTCCATTCCAGTCCACTTCTTTCCAATCCACTCCACTCCACTCCACTCTAATCCATTTCATTCCAATACACTCCAATCCACTCCACTCCCCTCCACTTGATTCCATTCTACTCCACTCCACCCTACTAAACTCCATTCCACTCCACTCCACTCCAATCCACTCCTTTGCATTCCACTCCACTCCAATCCACTCTACTCCATTCCACTCTGCTCCATTTCAATCCAATCCATTCCAGTCCATTCCATTCCATTCCACTCTTCGCCATTCCATTCCACTCCATGCCATTCTGCTCCACTCCACTCCATTCCATTCCACTCCACTCCATTTCTCTCAACTGCACTCCACTCTACACCTATCCATTTCATTCCACTCCACTCCACTGCATTCCATTCCACTCCTCTGCACTCCACTCCATTTCACTCCAGTACACTCCATTCCACTCCACTCCACTCTGCTTCACTCCACTCAGCTCCATTCCTTGCCACTCCACTCTACTCCATTCCACTCCAATCTACTCCATTCCACTTCACTCTACTCCATTCCACTCCACTGCACTCCATTTCATTCCAATCCCCTCCATTCCAGTCCACTCCACTCCATTCCATTCCAGTCCACTACACTCCACTCTATTCCACTCCTCAGTACTCCAATTCAATCTACTCCACTCAATTCCACTCCAATTTATCCCAGTCCAGTCCACTCCGTTCCATTCCATTCCATTCCATTGCACTCCACTCCACTACACTACACTACGCTACACTACACTACTCTCCATTATAGTCCATTCCACTCCATTTCAGTCGACTCCACTCCACTCCACTCCATTCTATTCCACTCCATTCCATTCCATTCCACTCCACCCTATGCCATTCCATTCCTCTCCATTCCATACTCTTCCATTCCATTACATTCAACTCCATTCCACTCCACTCCACTCCACTCCATTCTATTCCACTCCATTCCATTCCATTCCACTCCACCCTATGCCATTCCACTCCTCTCCATTCCATACTCTTCCATTCCATTACATTCAACTCCATTCCACTCCACTCCACTCCATTCCATTCCATTACTGTCCACTCCACTCCACTCCATTCCATTTCATTCCACTCCATTCCACTCCACTCCACACCCTTCCATTCCATTCTACTCCAATCCATTCCACTCCATTCTATTCCATTCCACTCCATTCCACTCCACTGCACTCCCCTCACTTCCAGGCCATTCCATTCCACTCCATTCCATTCCATTGCTTTCTTTCCACAGGATCTCTCTCTGTCAAAAGGGCTGGAGTGCAGTTGCACAGTATCAGCTCTCATTTCTTTTCACCATTCCTTTGCATACCATTCCATAGAATTCCACTCCACGCTTTTTCACTCCACTCCACTCCACTCCACACCACTTCCACTCCACTCCTTTGCACTCCACTGCACCCCACTTCACTCATTTCTACTCCACTTCACGCCATTTCATTCCATTCCATTTCACACCAATGGATTCTATTCTTTCTTTTGACAACATATCACAGTGTCAGCCAGGGTGGAGTGCAGTGGTACAATCTCAGCTCATATGACAGGCCAACTTTCCATTGCATTGCATTGCTTTTCACACCATTGCATTCCTTTGCATTGGAATGCATTGCATTGCATTCCATTCCATTCCACTCCATTCTATTCTATTCAATTCCATTCCACTCCATTCCATTAAATTCAACTCCACTCCACTCCACTAAACTCCACTCCACTCAATTCCATTCCATTGGTTTACCTTCCATTGCACTCCACTCCATTCCACTCCATTGCTCTCGACTCCAATTCACTGCACTCCATTCCAATCCATTCCACTCCTTTCTATTCCATTGCACTCGGATCCACTCCAATCCACTCCACTCCATTCCATTCCATTGCACTCCATTCCATCCATTCCACTCCGCTCCACTGCAACTCATTTCTCTCCAGTCCACTCCACTGCGTTGCATTCCACTCCAGTCCACTTCACTCCACTCCATTCCATTCCATTCCATTCCAATGCACTCCATTCCATTACATTCCACTTCACTCAATTCCATTCCATTCCATTCCATTCCAATGCACTCCATTCCATTAAATTCCACGCCACTCCACTTCACTACCCTCCACTCCATTCCATTTCATTCCATTGCAATCAAATCCACCCCACTCCATTCCACTCCATTGCTCTCCACTGCACTCCACTCCATTCCATTCCATTCCATTCCATTCCATTCCATTCCATTCCATTCCATTCCATTCCATTCCATTCCCCTCCATTCAACTCCATTCCATTTGATTCCACTCGAATCCACTCCACTCCACTCCACTACATTCCACTCCATTGCGCTACACTCCATTCCATTCCACTCCTCTCCACTCCACTCCAACCCATTCCACTCCAGTACACTCCACTGCATTCCATTTCACTCCACTCCACTCCATTCCACCACTCCACCCCAATCCACTTTATTCCATTTGACTGCACTCCATTCCACTGCAACCCACTCCA
>NC_000024.10:10957767-10961625 GCF_000001405.40 Homo sapiens
CTGCATTCTATTCCTACTCCAGTCAAATCTATTCCATTCTCATTCCACTCCATTCCATTCCACTCCACTCCACTCCATTCCATTCCACTCCATTCTATTTCACTTCATTCCATTCCAGTTCATTCCATTGCAGTCCACTCCACTCGCCTCCACTCCACTCACTCAATTCCACACCACTCTTCTCCATTCCATTCCACTCCTCTCCCCTCCACTCTACTACACTCCACTCCACCCCACTTCATTCCATTCCGCTCCATTCCATTCCATTCCTTTCTTTCCACAGGATCTCTCTCAGTAACAAAAGCTGGAGTGCAGTGGCACAATTGCAACTCACATTTCATTTAACCATTCCATTGCATTCCATTCCATCCCATTCCATTCCACTCTATTTCACTCAACTTTTCTCCACTCCATTCCATTCCACTCAATCCCATTCTGTTCTACTCCTTTCCACTCCACTCCTCTCAACTCCACTCCATTCCATTCCACTGCATAACATGCCATTCGACTACATTCCACTCCACTCCACTCCACTCCAATCCACTCCATTCCATTCCATTCCATTCCATTCCATTCCATTCCATTCCATTCCATTCCATTCCATTCCATTTCACTCCATTGCATTCCATTCCTTTCTTTCAACACTATATCACTGTGTCACGCAGGCTTAAGTGCAGTGGCACAATCTCAGCTCACGTTACATGTCAGCATTCCATTGCATTGCATTCTATTTCATTCCTTTCCATTCCATTCCATTTCATTCCATTCCATTCCACTGCACTCCACTCCATTCCATTCCATTCCACTGCACTCCACTCCATTCCACTCCATTCCATTCAATTTCTTTACATTCCATTCCACTCCACTCCAGTCCACTACACTCTATTCCATTCCATTCCACTCCACTCCACTCCACTACATTCAATTGAATTCCATTCCCCTGCACTCCACTCAATTTCATTCTATTCCACTCCATTTGATTACAGTCCACTCCACTCCATTCCACCCCACTCCACTCCATTCCATTCCTTCCCACTCCATTCCAGTCCACTCCATTCCATTCCATTCCATTCCATTCCAATGCATTCCATTCCACTCCATTCCAGTCCACTCCAGTCCACTCCACTCAACTCCATTTCATGCCGTTCTGCTGCACTCCATTCTATTTCACTCCACTGCATTCTATTCCATTCCATTCCACTCCATTGCATTCCACTCCTCTCCATTCCATTCCACTCCACTCCATTCCATTGCATTCCATTCCAGTCCACTCCACTGCACACGACTACATTCCATTCAATTCCATTCTGCTCCACTGAACTCTAATCCATTCCATTGTAATTCATTCAATTCCACTCCACTCCAATCCACTCCAATCCATTCCACTCCATTCTACTCCATTCCATTCCTTTCCTCTCCATTGCATTCCACTTTATTCCATTCCACTGCATTCCACTCCATTCCACTGCTTCCCTTCCATTCCACTGCTTCCTCTCCATTCCATTCCATTCCATTCCATTCCATTCCATTCCATTCCATTCCATTCCACTCCACTTCATTCCACTCCATTCTATTCCATTCTACTACACTCCACACCACTCCACTCCATTTCACTCCATTTCAATCCATTCCACTCCATTCCATTCCCCTCCATTCCATTCCACTCTATTGCACTCCACTCAACTCCACTCCATTCCACTGCTCTCCATTCCAATCCACTCCACTCCATTCCATTCCACTCTACTCCACTCCAGTCTACTCGACTCCACTCCATTCCACTCCATTCCACTCCACTCAAGTCTACTCCATTCCATTACAATCCTCTCCATTCCATTCCACTCCACTCCTCTACACTCCATTCCACTCCTCTACACATTCCTTCTACTCCTCTCCACTCCCTTCCACTCTACTCCACTCCATTCCGTTCCATTCCACTCTACTCCAGTCCATTGCACTCCAATCCACTCCACTCCACTACACTCAATTCCACTCCAGTCCACTCCTTTCCACTCCTCTCCACTCCACTGCACTCCACTCCACTCCATTCCATTCCTTCCCATTCCATTCGACTCCATTCAACTCCACTGCACTACACTCCAGTCCACTCCATTCTAGTCCATTCCATTCCATTCCATTTCACTCCATTCTATTCCATTCCTTTCTTTCCACAGGATATCACTGGGTCACTCAGACTGGAGTGCAGTGCCACAATCTCTCTTCACATTACATGTCAACTTTCCATTGCATTGCATTCTATTCCTTTGCATTGCATTACATTGTCTTGCTTTGCAGTGCTTTGCATTGCATTGAATTGCATTCCATTCCATTTGATTCCTTTTATTTCCACTACCCTCCATTCCACTCCATTCGATGCCACACCACTCCATTTCATTCCATTCCCCTCCAGTCCATTCCATTCCTCCCCACTCCACTACACTATACCCCAGTCCACTCCATTCCATTCAACTCCACTCCATTTCGTTTCACTCAACTCCATTCCATTCCATTCCATTCCATTCCACTTCAGTCCACTCCAATGCTTTCCGTTCCCCTCCGTTCCACTCCATTCCAGTCCACCCCACTCCACTCCACTCTATTCCATTCCATTCCACACCACTCCACTCCATTGCAATCCACTCCACTGCACTAAATTTTGCTCCACTCCACTCCACTCAACTCCATTACAATACACTCCACTTCACTCCACTCCAATTCCACTGCACTACACTCCATTCCATTCCACTCTGTTCCACTCCATTCCACTCCAGTCCACTCCATCCTTTTGCATTCCACTCCATTGCACTCCACACCTCTCTACTACACTCAGTTCCATTCGAATCAATTCCATTCCGCTCCTTTCTTTCCAAATTAACTCTCTCTGTCACAAAAGCTGAAGTGCACTGGCACAGTCTCAGTTAACATTTCTTTTCACCATTCCATTGCATTCTATTCCTCAAATTCCATTCCACTCTATTTCACTCCACTCCACTCCATTACATTCCACTCCATTCCATTCCATTCGACTCCTTTCCACTCCTCTTCACTTCATTCTACCCCACTCCACTCCAAAACACTCCATTCCATTCCATTCCATTCCATTCCATTCCATTTCATTTCATTCCATTGCAATCTGTCAATTTCTTTCGACAGGATGTCACTGTGTCACCCAGGCTGCAGTACAGGTGCACAATCTCAGCTCACATTACATGTCTACTTTCCATTGCATTGCATTGTATTCCATTCCATTAGATTCCATTGCATTCCTTTCCACTCCACTGAACTCCACCCCACTCCACTCCATTCCATTCCACTCCATTCCACGCCATGCCATTCCATTCCAATCCACTCCACTGCATTCCACTCCACTCCACTGCAGGACACTCCAGTCCACTCCTCTCCATTCCATTCCACTCCACTCCACTCCATTCAACTCCACTCCATTCCATTTTATTTCACTCCATTCCACTCCTCTCCACTGCATTCCATTCCATTCTACTCCACACCAGTCCACTCCACTCCACTCCATTCCACTCCACACCACCCCATTCCAATCTATTCCATTCCAGTCCACTCCTCTGCATTCCCTTCCTCTCCATTCCACTCCATTCCACCCCACTCCACTCCACTCCACTCCACTACACTCCATTCCATTCCACTCCACTCCACTCCACACCACTCCACTCCATTCCATTCCTCATCCATTCCACTCCACTCTACTCCATTCCACTCAATACCACTCCGTTCCACTCCATTACCTTCCACTCCATTTCACTCCCTTCCTCTCCACTCCATTCCATTCCACTCCATTCCATTCCATTCCACTCCACTCCACTCCATTCCACTCCTCCCCACTGCATT
>NC_000024.10:10962533-10965694 GCF_000001405.40 Homo sapiens
TTCCACTCTCCACTCCATTCCATTCCAATCCACTGCACTCCACTCCACTCGACTCTACTCCACAAACTCCACTCCATTCCACTCCATTCCACTCCACTTCACTCCACTCCACTCCATTCCACTCCATTCTTCTCCATGCCATTCCATTGCATTCCACTCCACTCTATTCCATGCCACTCCACTCCATTCCAATCCATTCCACTCCACTCCATTTCATTCAAACCCACTCCACTCCACTCCACCTCACTCAATTCCACTCCACTCTTCTGCATTCCACTCCACTACACTCCATTCCATTCTATTCCACTCCATTCCTCTCCATTGCCCTCCATTCCTCACCACTCTACTCCAATCCACTCCACTCCACTTCACTCCAATCCATTCCATTCCATTCCATTCCATTCCATTCCATTCCATTCCATTCCATTCCCTTCAATTGCATTCTGGGCCATTTCATTCTATTCCACTCCACTCCGTTCCACTCCTCTGCACTCCATTCCACTCGAGTGCACTCGAACCCAATGAATTCCACTTCACTCCACTCCACTTCTTTCCATTCGACTCCACCCAACTCCATTCCTTTCTATTCCACTGCAATCCATTCGACTCCAATCCACTTCACTCCACTGCAGTCCTCCCCACTCCACTCCATTCCACTCCACTCCCTTCCACTCCACTCCATACCATTCCACTCCACTCCATTCTATTCCACTCCACCCCACTCCACTCCTCTCCACTCCATTCCATTCCACTCCACAGCACTCCAGTCCAACCTATTCCACTCTATTCCATTCCACTCCACTCCACTTCATACCAATCTACTCCACTCCATTCTACTCCATTCCATTCCATTACACACCTTTCCATTCCTTTCCATTCCACTCCATTCCATTCCTTTCCACTCCATTCTGCTCCGTTTCAATCCATTAGACTCCATTCTTTCCATTCCACTCCATTCCCCTACATTCCACTCCACTCTGCTCCACGCTATTCCATTCCACTCCATTCCATTCCAGTTCTTTCTTTCCACAGGATCTCTCTCGCTCACAAAGGCTGGAGTGCAGTGGAACAATCTCTGCTCACATTTCTTTGTAGCATTTCCTTGCATTCCATTCCATCCCATTCCATTCCACTCTATTTCACTCCATTCCACTCCACTCTCTTCCATTTCACTCAATCCCGTTCCATTCTACATTCAACTCCACTCCACTCCACTCCACTCCATTCCATTCTATTCCATTCCATTTCACTACATTTCACTCCATTACATTCCATTCCCTTCTTTTGAAAGGATATCACTGTGTCAATCATGCTCGAGTGCAGTGGCACAATCTCAGTTCACATTACATGTAACTTTCCTTTGCCTTGCATTGTATTCCAATGCATTGCATTGCATTACATTGCATTGCATTGAATTGCATTGCATTGCATTCCTATCCATTCCTTTCCATTCTATTGCATTACCCTCTACTCCACTCCACTCCACTCCAATACATTCCACTCCAGTCCACTCCATTCCTTTACTGTCCACTCCACTGCTTTCCATTCCATCTTATTGCATTCCAATCCTTTCCACTTTACTCCACTCCGCTCAACTCCACTCCACTCCACGGCAGTCCATTCCACTCCACTGCACTCCATTTCATTCTAATCCACTCCACTCCTTTCCATTCCATTCCTTTCCATTCCATTCCATTCTATTCCA
This sequence comes from Homo sapiens, assembly GCF_000001405.40. NCBI lineage: Eukaryota > Metazoa > Chordata > Mammalia > Primates > Hominidae > Homo > Homo sapiens. The sequence continues at coordinate 10,964,239 of NC_000024.10, forward strand.
TTCCATTCCATTCCATTCCACTCCACTCCACTCCAGTTAATTCCATTGCAACCCACTCTATTCCTTTCCAGTCCACTGCACTCCTTTCCATTCCATTCTGTTGCACTAAACTACAATGCACTCCACTGCACTCAATTCCTTTGTACTCCATTCCAATCCATTCCATTCCATTCCATTGCAATCCCTTCCATTCCACTGCTTTCTTTTGACAAGATCTCCCTCGTTCACACTGGCTGTAATGTAATGGCACAATCTCAGCACACTTTTTTTCAGCATTCCATACCATTCCATTCCATTCCACTCGACTCCTCTCCACTCCACTCCTCTCCACTCCACTCCATTCCATTCCACTCCATCCCATTCCATTCGACTCCATTCTACTTCACTCCACTACTCTCCACTCCTCTCCACTCCATTCAATTCCTTTCCATTCAACTCCACTCCACTCCACTCCATTCCACTCCACTCGAATCCACTTGACTACACTTCAATCCACTCCACTCCAATCCATTCCATTCCACTCCAATCTATTCCACTCCACTCCATTCCACTCCACTCCATTCCACTCCACTGCACTCCACTGGACTCCATTCCACTCCATTCCATTCTATTCCACTCCATTCCATTCCATTCCTTTCTTTCCACAGGATCTAACTCTGTCACAAAGGCTGGAGTGCAGTGGCACAATATCAGCACACATTTTTTAAACATTCCATTGCATTCCATTCCATCCCATTCCATTCCACTCTATTTCCCTCAACTACTCTCCACTCCATTCCATTCCACTCTATCCCATTGTGTTCAACTCTATTCCACTCCATTTCACTCCACTCCACTCCATTCCATTCCATTCTATTCCATTCCATTCCATTCCATTACACCCCATTGTGTTCCATTCCTTTCTTTCCTCAGGATATCACCGTGTCACCCAGGCTGGAGTTCAGTGGCACAATCTCAGTTCACATTACATGTCAACTTTCCATTGCATTCCATTCTATTCCATTGCATTCCATTGCATTCCATTCCATTTCATTTCGTTCCATTGTATTCCATTCGAAGTCATTCCATTCCACTCCGTTCCACTCCACTCCACTTCACTCCATTACATCCGATTCCATTCCACTCCATTCCACTCTTCTCCACTCCACTGCTCTCCATTCCACTCCATTCCACTCCATCCTCTTCCGTTCGGCTGCTTTCCACTGCACTCCACTCCACCTCACTCCACTCCACTTCATTCCATTCCTTTCCATCCCATTGTATTCCTATCCATTCCACTTCACTCCACTTCACTCCACTCCACTCCAGTCTACTCCATTCCATTCCATTCCATTCCATTCCATTCCATTCCATTCCATTCCATTCCATTCCATTCCATTCCACTGCATTCCATTCCATTCCTTTCTGTTGAGAGTATCTCACTCTGTCACCCAGCCTTGAGCACAGTGGCACAGTC
>NC_000024.10:10967284-10969992 GCF_000001405.40 Homo sapiens
TTCCTTTCTTTCCACAGGATCTCACTCCGTCAAAAAGGCTGGAAATCAGTGATACAATATCAGCTCACATTTCTTTCACCATTCCATTGTTATCCATTCCATCCCATTCTTTCCACTATATTTCACTCACCTCCACTCCACTCCGTACCATTCCTTTGCATCCCGTTCCATTCGACCCCAGTACACTACACTCCAGTTCACTCCATTCCATTCCTTTCCTTTCCATTCCATTCCATTCCATTCCATTCCATTCCATTCCATTCCATTCCATTACATTCCATTCCATTACATTCCATTATTTCACACCATTGCCTTCCAATCCTTTCTTTCAACGGGATGTCACGGTGTCCCCCAGGCTGGAGTGCAGTGGCACAATCTCAGCTCGCATTACATGTCAACTTTCCATTGCATTACATTCTGTTCCATTGCATTCCATTGCATTCCATTCCATTCCATTCCATTCCAGTGCAATCCATTCGATTCTATCTCCTTCCTTTTCATTCAATTCCATTACTTTCCACTCCTTTCCACTCCACTCCTTTACATTACATGCGATTCCATTCCACTCCATTCCACTCCCCCGCACTCCACTTCACTCCATTCCACTACATCCCATTCCATTCCACTCCATTCCACTGCAATCCACTCCACCTCTCTCCACTTCACTTCTTTCCATTTCATCCCATTCCATTCCAATCCCTTCCATTCCACTCCTTTCTTTCGACAGGATCTATCACTGTCACACAGGCTGTAGTGTACTGGCACAATCTCAACACACATTTCTTTTCAACATTCCATCAGATTCCGTTACACTGCACTCCACTCCACTCCACTCCAGGACACTCCACTCCACTCCACTCAATTCCATTTCACTCCTCTCTACTCCACTCATTCCACTCCACTTGACTCTCCTCCAACTCATTCCACTCCACTCCACTCCACTCCACTCCACTCCATTCCACTACTTCCCATTCCATTCCTCTCCATTCCACTCCACTCCACTTCAGTCCCTTCCACTCACCTCCAGTCCCTGCCATTCCTTTCCATTCCACTGCATTCCATTCCATTCTTTTTTCGAGAGTATCTCACTCTGTCACCCAGCGTGGTGTGCAGTGACTTAATCTCAGCTCACATTTCATTTCACCATTCCATTCCATTCCATTCCATTCCATTCCTTTCCACTCCTCCCCAATCCACTCTTCTCCAGTCCAATCCATTCCACTCCACTCCATTCCTGTCCACTCCACTTCTGTCCATTCTATCCCATTCCGTTCCCCTCTTTTCCACTCCACACCACTCCAGTCAACTCTACTCAACTCCACTCCTTTCCATTCCACTCTATTCCATTCCATTGCTTTCTTTGTGAGTATCTCACACTGTCACCCAGGCTGGTGTTCAGTGACACAATCTCAGCTCACATTTCAATTCACCATTCCATGACATTCCTTTCCATTCCATTCCATTCAATTCCATTCCATTCCTTTCCATTCCACTGCACTCCAATCCACTCCATTCAATGCCACTCCATGGCACTCAAGGCCATTCCATTCCATTATATTCCAATTCCTTCTCTTCTACTCCTTTCTTTTGACAGGATCTCCCTTTGTCCCACTGGGTGTACAGTAGTTGCACTATCTCATCACACATTATTTTCACCATTCTATTGCTTTGCGTTCTGTTCCGTTCCCTTATGTTCCGTATTGTTCCACTCCGTTCCACTCCACTCCCTTCCACTCCACTCCATTCAACTCCACTCCACTCCTCTCCACTCCACTCCACTCCACTCCATTCCACTAAACACCACTCCACTCCAACCCACTACATTCCACTCCATTCCATTCCACTTATTTCCACTGCACTCCACTCCACTCCATTCCACTCCCCTCCAGTCCATTCCACTATACTTCACTCCATTCCTCTCCACTCCATTTTACTCCACTGCATTCCACTTCACTCCACTCCACTCCACTCCACTCCATTCCATTCCATTCCATTCCACTCCATTCCATTCCATTCCTTTCTTTCCACACAATGTCACTCTGTCACAAAGGCTGTAGTGCATTGGCACAATCTTAGCTTCCATTTATTTACACCATTCCATTGCATTCCATTCCGTCCCATTCCAATCCATTCTATTTCACTCCACCCCACTCCACTCCATCCCATTCCATTCGATTCCATTCCACTCCACTCCACTCCACTCCACTCTACTCCATTCCATTCCAACCCATGCCATTCCATTGCACTCCATTGCATTCCATTCCTTTCTCTTGACAGGATTTCACTGTGTCACCCAGGCTGGAGAGCACAGGCAGAATGTCAGCTCACATTACAGGTTAACTTTCCATTGCTTTGCATTCTATTCCATTGCATTTCTTTCCATTCCATTCCATTCTGTTCAATTCTATTCGATTCAATTCCATTCCGTTCCATTCCATTCCATGCGGTCCACTCCACTCTACTCCACTACATTCCATTACATCCGATTTCATTCCACTCCATTCCACTCCACTACACTCTACTCCACTCCATCCCATTCCATTCCGCTCTATTCCACTGCACTGCACTGCACCTCAATCCACTCAACTTCATTCCATTCCATTCCATCCCATTCCATTCCTCTCCATTCCACTCCATTCTACTTCACACCACTCCACTCCAGTCCATTCCATTCCATTCCATTCCATTCCATTCCATTCCATTCCACT
>NC_000024.10:10970620-10986652 GCF_000001405.40 Homo sapiens
CCATTCCATTCCATTCCATTCCATTCCATTCCACTTCACTCCACTCCACTCCATTCCACTCCACTGCACACCACTCCACTCCATTCCAATCCTTCCCATTCCATTCAGCTCCATTCCACTCTATTACTGAGCATGGATCTCAGTGTCACAATCTAAGCTCACATTTTATTTCACAATTCCATTCCATTCAATTCCATTCTATTCCATTACATTCCATTTCACTCCGTTCCACTTCACTCCACTCCAATACACTACATTCCATTACATCCGTTTCTATTCCACTCCATTACACTCCTCCCCACTCCACTGAACTCCACGCCACTTCATTCCACTTCAACCCATTCAATTCCGCTCCTTTGCACTGCACTCCACTCAACCCCAATCCACTCAACTTCATTTATTTCCATTCCACCCCATTCCATTCCTCTCCATTCCACTCCACTCAAATTCACTCCACTCCATTCCATTCCACTCCATTCCACTCCACTCCATTCCAGTCCACTCCACTCCATTCCATTCCATCCCATTCCATTCCACTCTTTTCCACTCCGTTCCACTCCACTCCACTCCATTGCAATCCACTACACTCCAATCGAATTAATTCCACTCCATTCCATTCCATTCCATTCCATTCCATTCCATTCCATTCCATTCCATTCCATTCCATTCCATTTCACTCCAATACATTCCATACCTTTCTTTCGACAAGATATCACTGTGTCACCCAGGCTTGAGTGCAGTGGCACAATCTCAGCTCACATTACATGTCAACTTTCCATTGCATTGCATTCTATTCCATTGTATTCCATTCCATTCCAATCAATTCCATTCCATTCCAATACATTCCATTCCATTCAAGAAAATTCCATTCCATCCCGTTCCACTCCACTCCACTCCACTCCACTACATTTCATTACATCAGAATCCATTCCACTCCATTCCACTCCTTTCCACTCCACTGCACACCACTCCACTCCATTCCAATCCTTCCCATTCCATTCAGCTCCATTCCACTGCAGTCCACACCACCCCACTCCCCTCCAATTCATTCCATTCCATTCCGTCCCATTCCATTCCTCTCCATTCCACTCTACTCCATTTCACTCCACTCCTCTCTACTGCTGTTCATTCCATTCCCTTCCACTCCATTCCATTCCACTGCTTTCCGTTCCATTCCTTTCTTTTGAGAGTATCTCACTCTCTCACCCAGCCTGGAGCACAGTGGCACAAACTCAGCTCATACTTCATTACAATTCCATTGCATTGCATTCCATTCTATTCCATTCCATTCCATTCCATTCCATTCCATTCCATTCCATTCCATTCCACTTCACTCCACTCCACTCCATTCCACTCCACTCCACTCTAATCCATTCCATTCCATTCCAATCCCTTCCTTTTCTCTCCTTTCTTTCGACAGGATCTCCCTCTGTCACAGAGGCTGTAGCCTAGTGTCACAATCTCAGCACACATTTCCCTTCACCTTTCCGTTCTGTTTTTTTCCTTTCCATTCTGTAACATTCCGTTCCACTCCACTCCACTCTATTCCACTCCACTCCACTCGGTTTCATTCCACTTTATTTGATTCCACTCTATTGCACTGCACTCCATTCCACCCCACTCCACTCCATTCCACCCCACTCCACTCCATTCCACTCCATTCCATTCGGCTCCATTGCACTTCTCTCCACTCCACCCCACTCCACTCCACTCCACTGCATTCCACTCCTCTCCACTCCACTACACTACATTCAACTCCACTCTACTCCACTCCATTCCACTCCCCTCCACTCCACTCCACTCCACTCCATTCCATTCTATTACACTCTAGTCCATTCCATTTCTTTCTTTCCCCAGGATCTCACTCTGTTACAAAAGTTGGAGTGCAGTGGCAGAATCTCAGCTCACATTTCTTTTCATCATTCCTTTGCTTTCCCTTCCATTCCATTCCACTCAATTTCACTCCACTCCACTGCATTCCATTCCACTCGATCCCATTCCATTCAACTCAATTCCACTCCACTCCACTTCACTCCACTCCACTCCAGTCCACTCCATTCCATTCCATTCCATTTCAGACCATTGCATTCCATTCCTATCTTTCAACAGGATATCACTGGGTCACCCAGGCTGGAGTGCAGTGGCACAATATCAACTCACATTACATGTCAACATACAATTGCATTGCGATCTATTCCATTGCTTTCCATTGCATTCCATTCCTTTCCATTCCATTCCATGCAATTCAATTCCATCCCACTACATTCCACTACATTCCATTACATCTGATTCCATTCCACTACATTCCACTCCTCTCCACTCTACTGCACTCCACTCTACTCCATTCCACTCCATCCCATTTCATTCCACTTCATGCCACTGCACTCCACTCTACCCTACTCCACTCCACTTCATTCAATTCCATCCCATTCCATTCCTCTCCATTCCATTCCACTCCACTTCCCTCCACTCCACTACATTCCTCTCTATTCCATTCCACTGCATTTCATTCCATTCCTTTCTTTAGAGAGTATGTCACTCTGTCACCCATCCTGGAGCACAATGTCACAATCCCATCTCACATTTCATTTCACCATTCCGTTCCATTCCATTCCATTCCATTCCATTCCAGTCCATTCCAGTCCACTCCACTGCACTCCGCTCCATTCCAATCTATTCCACTCAACTCCACTCCACTCTATTCCAGTTCACTCCACTCCTTTCAATTCCATCCAGTTCCAATGCACTGTTTTCCACTCCACTGCACTCCACTCCATTGCAGTCCATTCCACGCCATTTCATTTCATTCCTTTCTTTTGACAGGATCTCACTCTGTTACCCAGGCAGGTGTGCAATGGCACAATCTCAGCTCACATTTCATTTCACCATTAAATTCCATTGCATTCTATTCCACTGCACTCCACTACACTCAATTTCATTCGACTCCACTCCAATCCATTCTATTCCATTCCATTCCATTCCATTCCGTTCCATTCCGTTCCGTTCCGTTCCGTTCCGTTCCGTTCCGTTCCATTCCATTCCATTCCATTCCAATCCCTTCCATTCAATTCCTTTCTTTCAACAGGATCTTCCTCTGTCACACAGGCTGTAGTGTAATGGACCAATCTCAGCACATATTTCTTTTCACTATTCCATTCCAGTTCTTTCCATTCCATTCTGTTCCATTCCGTTCCATTCCATTCCATTCCATTCCACTCCACTCTTCTCCACTCCACTCCACTCCTCTCAGTTCCCTCCACTCCATTCTAATCCACTCCACTCCTTTCCACTCCATTCCACTCCACTCCACTCCATTCCACTCCACTCCACTCCATTCCACTCCACCCACTCCATTCCATTCCAGTCCACTCCACTCCACTTCACTCCATTCCACTCCATTCCATTCCACTCCATTCCATTCCATTCTTTCTTTCCACAGGATCCCAATCTGTCACAAAGTCTGGAGTGTAGTTGCACAATCTCAGCTCACATTTCTTTTGACCATTCCATTGCCTTCCATTCCGTCCCATTCCATTACACTCTATTGCACTCCACTCCACTCTACTACACTCCACTCCACTCAAATCCATTCCATTCCATCCCATTCCATTCGATTCCATTCCACTCCACTCCATTGAACTGCACTCCACTCCATTCCCTTCCATTCCATTGCAACCATTCCATTCCATTTCACTCCATTGCATTCCATTCCTTTCTTTTGGCAGGATATCACTGTGTCACCCAGGCTGGAGTGCAGTGGCACAATCTCAGCTCACATTACTTCTCAACTTTCCATTGCATTGCATTCTGTTCAATTGCATTCCATTGCATCCCATTCCATTTCATTCCATTGCACTCCATTCCATTCAATTCCACTCCGTTGCACTCAACTCCACTCCACTGCTTTCCATCACATCCGATTCCATTCCACTCCATTCCACACCTCTCCACTCCACTGCACTCCACGACAATCCATTCAACTACATCCCATTCCATTCCACTCCACTCCACTCCACCATATTCCACTCAAGTTCATTCCATTCAATTCCATCCTATTCCGTTCTTCTGTATTCCACTCCGCTCCCTCCACTCCTCTCCATTCCACTCCACTCCTTTCCACTCCACTCCATTCCACTCCTCTCCATTCCATTCCACTCCACTCTACTCCATTCCACTCCACTCCGTTCCACTCCATGCCACTCCACTCCACTCCACCCCACTCCACCCACTCCGTTTCACTCCATTCCACTGCACTCCATTCCACTCTACTCCACTACATTCTCTTCCATTCCACTCCACTCCATCCCACTCCACTCCATTCCATTCCATTCCTTTCTTTCCACAGGATCTCACTCTGTCACAAAGTCTGGAGTGAACTGGCACAATCTCAACACATATTTCTTTTCAGCGTTCTATTGCATTCTATTAAATCTTATTCCATTCCACTCTATTTTGCTCCTCTCCACTCCATTCCATTCCACTGCAGAACGTTCCAATCGACTCCACTCCACTCCAATTCATTCCATTCCATTCCATTCCATTTAACTCCTTTGCATTCCATTACTTTCTTTCGACAGGATATCACTGTGTCACTCAGGCTGTGGTGCAGTGGAACAATCTCATCTCACATTACATGCCAACTTGCCATTTTATTGCATTCTATTCCATTGCATTCCATTCTATTCCATTCCATTCAATTCCAGTATATTCGACTCCATTCCACTCCACTGCACTCCACTCCACTACATTCAATTACATCCGATTCCATTCCACTCCACTCCACTCCTGTCCACACCACTGCAATCCAATCCATTCCATTCCACTCCATCCCATTGCATTACCCTCCCATACACTGTAATCCTCTCCCCCGCACTCCATTCCACTTCATTCCATTCCATTCCATTCCTCTCCATTCCACTCCACTCCACTCCCCTCCAGTCCACGCCATTCCATTCCATTCCACAGCATTCCATTCCATTCATCTTTGGAGATTATCTCACTCTGTCACCCAGCCTGGAGTGCAGTGGCATAATCTCAGCTCACATTTTATTTCACCATTCCAGTCCATTTTATTCCATTCCATTCCACTCCACTCTTCTCCATGCCAATCGATTCCACTCCACTTCACTCCACTCCATTCCAGTCCACTCCACTCCTTTCCATTCCATTCCATTTCATTCCACTCCTTTCCACTCCACTCCACTCAACTCCACTCCATTCTACTCCATTCCATTCCATTCCTTTCTTTTGACACCATCTCACTCTGTTACCCAGACTGATGTGCAGTGGCTCAATCTCAGCTCAAATTTCATTTCACATTCCATTCCATTCCATTGCATTGCATTCCATTCCATTCCAATGCACTCCACTCCTCGCCACTCAATTCCACTCCACTCTACTCCAGTCCATTCCTTTCCATTACATTCCAATCCCTTCTATTCCACTCCTTTCTTTCAACAGGATCTCCCTCTCTCACACAGGCTGCAGTTTAGTGGCACAATCTCAGCACACATTTCTTTGCAACATTCCATTGCATTCCATTCCATTCCATTCCACTCCGTTCCTCTCCACTCCACTCCACCCAATTCCAATCCACTCCATTCCACTCCACTCCACTCTACTCCCTTCCACTCCACTCCACTCCAGTCCACTCCATTCCAATCTACTCCGTTCCACTCCACTCCAATGCACTCCTCTCCATTCCATTCCTTTCTGCACCATTCCACTGCAATCCACTCCACCCCAATCGACTCCACTCCACTCCACTACTTTCCACTCCAGTCTACTCCACTCCATTCCATTAAGCTCCACTCCACTCCATTACATTAAGCTCCACTCCATTTCACTTCACTCCATTCAACTCCACTCCACTCCTTTCCATTCCATTCCACTCCATTCTATTCCACTCCTTTCTTTCCACCGGGTCTCTCTCTTTCACAAAGTTTGTAGTGCAGTGGCACAATCTCAGCTTATATTTATTTTCACCATTTCATTGCATTCCATTCCATCCCATTCCATTCCACTCTTTTTCACTCCTCTCCCCTCCACTCTATCCCATTTCACTCCATCCCATTCCATTTGATTCCATTCCACTCCACTCCACTCCACTCCACTCCATTCCGTTCCTTTCCATTCTATTCTATTCCATTCCATTGCTCTCCATTGCATTCCATTACTTTCTTTCGATAGGATTTGACTGTGTCACACAGGTTGGAGTGTAGTGGCACAATCTCAGCTCACATTACATGTCAACTTTCCATTTCTTTTCATTCTATTCAATTGCATTCCATTCCATTCCATTCCATTCCATTCCGTTCCGTTCCGTTCCATTCCGTTCCGTTCCATTCCATTTCATTTAATTCCATTCCATTCAACTCCTTTCCACTCCACTCCACCCCACTCAACTACATTCCATTACATCCGATTCCGTTCCACTCCATTCCACTCCTCTCCACTCCACTCCACTCCACTCCACTCCACTCCATTCCACTCCATCCCATTCCATTCGGCTCCATTCCACTGCACTCCCCTCCACCCCAATTCACTCCACTTCATTCCATTCTGTTCCATCCCATTCAATTCCTCTACATTCCACTCCGATCCTCTTCACTCCACACCACTCCAGTCCACTCCATTTCATTGCATTCTCTTCCATTCCATTCCAGTCCATTCCACTCCATCTCATTCCATTCCTTTCTTTTGAGAGTATTTCACTCTGTTACCAAGACTAGAGTGCAGTGGCACAATCTCAGCTCCCATTTCATTTCACCATTCCAATCCATTCCATTCCATTATATTCCACTCTGTTCAATGCCACTCCACTACATTCCATTACATCCGATTCCACTCCATTCCATTCCTCTCCTCTCTACTCCACTACACTCCACTACATTCCATTCCACTCCATCACCTTCCATTCGGCTCCATTCCACTGCAGTCCACTCCACCCTAATCCAATCCACTTCATTCCATCCCATTCCATCCCATTCCATTCCTCTTCATTCCACTCCAATCCACTTAACTCCACCCACTCCGTTCCAGTCCACTCCATTTCATTGCATTCCATTCCATTCCACTCCATTCCTTTCTTTTGAGATTATCTCACTCTGATACCAATCCTATAGCACAGTGGCAAATTCTCAGCTCACATTTCATTTCACCATTCCTTTCCATTCCATTTTATTCCTTTGCATTCCATTCCATTCCACTCCACTCTACTCCAATCATCTCCACTCCATTCCATTCCACTCTGTTCCAGTCCACTCCTCTCCATTCCATTCCATCCCATTTCATTCCACTCATTTCCACTCCATTCCACTCCACTCCATTCTACTCCACTCAAATCCTCTGCTCTCCACTGCACTCCACTCCACAAAATTGCTCTCCAATCCATTCCATTCCATTCCATTTCACTCCATTGCATTCCATTCCTTTCTTTCCACAGGATATCACTGTGTTACCCAGGCTTGAGTACAGTGGCACAATCTCAGCTCACACTTCATATCCAGTTTCCATTGCATTCCATTCTATTCCATTCCATTCCATTCCGTTAAATTCCTTTCCATTCCCTTCCACTCCACTCCACTACGTTTCATTACATCCAATTCCATTCTACTCTATTCCACTTCTCTCCACTTCACTGCACACTACTTCACTTCATTCCACTCCATCCCATTACATTCCGCTCCATTACTCTGCACTCCACTCCACCCCACTCCACTCCTGTTGATTCCATTCTATTCAATCCCATTCTATTCTTCTCCATTCTACTCTACTCCACTTCACTCAATTCCACTCCACTGCAGTCCAATCCTTTCCATTCCATTCCATTCCATTCCACTGCGTTTCATTCCATTCCTTTCTTTCGAGACTATCTCACTCTGTCACCCAGCCTTTAAGCAGAGTGCACAAACTAAGTTCACATTTCATTACCATTCCATTCCATTTCTTTCCTCTACACTCCAGTACTCCTCTCCACTCCATTCCATTCCATTCCATTTTACTCCATTGCATTGCATTCCTTTCTTTTGACAGGTTCTTCCTCTGTCACCCAGGCTGGTGTGTTGTAGCACAATCTCGGCTCACATTTCATTTCACCAATCCATTCCACTACACGCCACTCCACTCCACTGAATTCCACTCCACTCCACTGCAATCCATTCCTTTCCATTCCATTCCATTCCATTCCTACTATTTCATTTCTTTCTTTTGACAGGATCTCCCTCTGTCACACAGGCTGTAGCATAGTGGTAAAATCTCAGCACACGTTCCTTTTCACCATTCCATTCCATTCCATTCCACTGCATTCCACTCCACCCCACTCCACTCCTCCCCATTCCATTCCATTCCACTCCTTTCAATCCCATTCCTTTCTTTCCACAGGATCTCACCCTGCCACAAATGCTGGAGTTCTGTGGCACAATCTCAGCTCACTTTTCTTTTCACTATTCCATTGCATTCTATTCCATCCCATTACATTCCACTTTATTTCACTCCACTCCACTCTAATCCACTCCACTCCACTCCATTCCACTTCACTTCATCCCATTCCATTCGACTCCATTACACTCACCTCCACTCCATTCAATTCCTTTCCGTTCCATTTCTTTTCACACCATTGCATTCCATTCCTTTCTCTCAACAGGATGTCACTGTGTCCCCCAGGCTGGAGTGCAGTGGAACAATCTCAGCTCACATTACATGTCAGCTTTCCATTTCATTGCATTCTATTCCATTGCATTCCATTCCATTCCATTGCATTCCATTACATTCCACTCCACTCCACTCCACATCATTACATTAAATCTGATTCCACTCCACTGCACTCCACTACATTTCATTACTTCTGATTCCATTCCACTCCTCTCCACTCCACTGTACACCACTACACTCAATTCCACTCCATCCCCTTCCATTCCGCTCCATTCCACTGCACTCCACTCCACCCCACTCCACTCCACTTCATTCCATTCCACTTCATGCCATTCCATTCCTCTCCATTCCACTCTACTCCACTTAACTCCATTTCACTCCACTGCAGGCCACTCCATTCCATTCAGTTCCACTGCATTCCATTCCATTCCTTTCTTTTGAGAGTACCTCGCTCTGTCACCCAGCCTGGAGTGCAGTGGCAGAAATTCAGTTCACATTTCGTTACTATTCGATTCCACTCCATTCCATTCCACTGTACTCCACTCCACTCAATTCCTCTCCATTCCACTCCAACTGATTCCATTCCATTCCATTCCAATCTCTTCCATTCAACTCCTTTCTTTCAACAGGATCTCCCGCTGTCACACAGGCTGTTGCCTAGTGGCACAGTCTCAGCACACATTTCTTTTTGCAATTCCATTCCATTCCATTCCATTCCATTCCATTCCACGCCCCTCCATTCCACTCCACTTCGTTACATTCCACTTTACTCCACTCCACTCCATTCCACTCCACTCCACTCCATTCCATTCCAGTTTATTCTATTCCACTCCATTGCACTGCACTCCATTCCACCCCACTCCTCTCCATTCCACTCCATTCCATTCCTCTCCATTGCACTGTAATCCACTCCATCCCTCTCCACTCCACTCTACTCCACCACATTCCACTCCACTCCACTCCATTCCAATCCACTCCATTCCACTCCCCTCCATTCCACTCCTCTCCATTCCTCTCCACTACACTCCACTTCACTCCACTCCACTCCATTACACTACACTCCAATCCATTCCATTCCATTACTCTCCATTCAATTCCATTACTTTCCTTCCACAGGATCTCACTCTGTTACAAAGTTTGGAGTGCAATGGCACAATCTCAACTCACATTTCTTTTCATCATTCCATTGCATTCCATTCCATTACACTCAGTTTCACTCCACTCCATGCCACTCCATTCCATTCTCCTCCATCCCATTCTATTCGACTCCATTCCACTCAACTCCACTCCACTCCACTTCAGTCCTCTCCATTCCATTCCACTAAATTCCAGTGCCTTCCATTCCATTAGTTTCTTTCGAGAGTATCTCACTCTGTCACCCAGGCTGGAGCGCAGTGGCACAATTTCAGCTCACATTTCATTTCACCATTCCATTCCATTCCATTCCATTCCATTCCATTCCATTCCATTCCATTCCATTCCATTCCACTCTAATCCATTAAACTCCACTCCACTACACTCCATTCAATTCCACTCCATCCCATTCCATGCCACTCCTTTCCACTCCAGTCCACTACACTCTGTACCATTCATTTCCACTCCATTCCATTCCCTTGCTTTCTTTTGACAGTATCTCACTCTGTCACCCAGGCTGGTGTGCAGTGACACAGTCTCAGGTCACATTTCATTTCACCATTCCATTGCATTTCATTCCGTTCCATTATATTCCATTCCACTCCATTCGACTGCACTCCACTCCGATCCACTCAATTCCACTGCACTCCACTGGAATCCATTCCATTATATTCTATTCCATTCCAATCCTTTAAATTCCGCTCCATTCTTTCAAAATGATCTCCCTCTGACACACAGGCTGTAACATAGTGGCACAATCTCAGCACACATTCCTTTTCACCATTCCATTCCGTTCTGTTCCGTTCCACTCCATTGCATTCTGTTCCATTCCATTCCATTCTGTTCCACTCCTTTCCACTCCAATCCACTCCACTCCATTCCATTTCACTCCATGTCATTTCAATCCACTCCACTCCAGTCCATTACACTCCAATTCACTCCACCCCACTCCATGCCATTCCACTACGTTCCATTCCGTTCCATTGCACTGCACTCCACTCCACCACACTCCACTCTACTCCAGTCCACGCTATTGCACTGCACTCCACTCCACTTCACTCCACTCCACTCCAATCCATTCAAATCCATTGGATTCCATTTCAATCATTGTATTCCATTCCTTTCTTTCAACAGGATATCACTGTGTCACCCAGGCTGGAGTGCAGTGGCACAATCGCAGCTCACATTACATGTCAACTTTCCTTTGCATTGCATTCTATAACATTGCATTGCATTCCATTCCATTCCATTTCACTCCGTTCCACTCCAATCTATTCCAATCCACAACATTCCATTACATCCGATTCCATTCCACGCCATTCCACTCCCCTCACCTCCACTGCACTCCATGCCACTGCATTCCACTGCATCCTTTTCCATTCCACTCCGTTAGTCAGCACTCCCTTCTTCCTGACTCCACTCCACTTCATTCCATTCCATTCCTTCCCATTCCATTACACTCCTTTCTCCTCCACTACACTTTACTCCACTCCACTCCAGTCCACTGCATTCCATTCCATTCCACTGCATTCCATTCCATTCCTTTCTTTCAATAGTATCCCACTCTGTCACCCAGCCTGCAGTGTAGTGGCACAATCTCAGCTCGAATTTCATTCACCTATCCATTCCATTCCATTCCATTCCATTCCATTCAATTCCACTAAATCCACTCCACTCCAATCCATTCCAGTTCACTTCACTCCTTTCCAGTCCACGCAACTCCTTTCCATTCCATACCATTCCATTCTTCTCCTTTCCACTCCACTCCAGTCTACTCCAATCACCTCCATTCCATTCCATTCCATTCCATTCCATTCCATTCCATTCCATTCCATTCCATTCCTTTCTTTTGATAGGATCTCACTCTGTCACCCTGGCTGGTGTGCAGTGGCACAATCTCAGCTCACATTTCATTTCAACATTCCACTCCATTCCATTCCACTGCACTCTACTCCACTTAATTCCACTCCACTCCACTCCAATCAATTCCATTCCACTCCTTTCCACTCCATTCCATTCCATTCCACTCCAATCCACTTCACTCCACTAAACTCCACTCCACTCTACTGCATTCCATTCCGTTCCATTACAATCCACTCTATTCCACTCCATTCCACTCCACTCCACTCCAGTCCATTCCATTTCATTCCACTCCAATTCATTCCATTCCATTCTACTTCACTCCACTCCATTCCATTTCATTTCATTCCATTCCATTCCACTCCACTCCACTCCATTCCATTCCATTCCACACCCCTCCAATCCACTTAATTCCACTCCACTTCACTTCCTTCAATTCCACTCCTCTCCAATCCATTCCTCTCCACTCCATTCTATTCCACTCCAATCGATTCCATTCCACTCCTCTCCATTCCATTCCGTTTCACTCCACTCCCCTCCACTCCATTCCACTAAACTGCACTCCACACCACTCCATTCCATTCCACTCCACTCCATTCCATTCCACTTCACTCCATTCCACTCTATTGAACTCCACTCCAGTCCATTCCATTCCATTCTATTCCACTCCATTCCATTCCTCGCTATTCCACTCCACTCCATTCCACTCAACTCCACTTCATTCCACTCCATTCCAGTCCACTCGACTCTACTCGAGTCCAGTCCACTCCACTACCCTCCATTCCATTCCATTCCATTCCATTACATTACATTGCACTCCGATCCACTCCACTCCACTCCACTCCAGTCCTTTCCATTCCCTTCCATTCCCTTCCATTCCTTTCCACTCCGATCCACTCCACTCCACTCCAGTCCTTTCCATTCCCTTCCATTCCCTTCCATTCCTTTCCACTCCGTTCCGTTCCACTCCACTCCACTCCAATGCATTCCATTACATACGAATCCATTCCACTCCAATCCACTCCTCTCCACTCCACTGCACTCCACTCCATTCCACTCTATCCCATTCCATTCCACTCCATTCCACTGCACTTCACTCTACCCCTTATCACTACACTGCATTATCTTCCATTCCATCCCATTCTGCTCCACTTCACTACATTCCACTACACTTCACTCCACTCCATTCCACTCCAGTACACTGCATTCCATTCCATTCCATTCCATTCCATTCCATTCCATTCCATTCCATGGCACTGCATTCCATTCCATTGCTTTCTTTCGAGAGTATCTCACTCTGTCACCCATCCTGGAGTGCAGTGGCACAATCTCAGCTCACATTTCATTTCACCATTCCATTTCATACCATTCCATTCCACTCCACTCCACTAGACTCCACTCCAATCCATTCCACTCCACTTCACTTCACTCCATTGCAGTCCACTCCACTCCTTTCCAGTCCATCCCATTTCTTTCCACTCCGCTCCACTCCACTCCATTCCATTCCATTCCACTGCTCTCCAGTCCATTCCTTTCTTTTGACAGAATATAACTCTGTCACCCAGGCCCGTCTGCAGCGGCACAATCTCAGTGCATATTTCATTCCACCATTCCATTCCATTCCATTTAATTCCGTTCCACTGCACTCCACTCCACTGCACTCTATTCCACTCCACTCCACTCCATTCCATTCCATTCCATTCCATTCCATTCCATTCCATTCCATTCCATTCCATTCCATTCCATTCCACTTCTTTCTTTCAACATATTCTCCCTCTGTCACACAGGCAGCAGCGCAGTGGCAAAATCTCAGCACACGTTTCTTTTTGCATTCCATTTCATTCCATTCTATTCCATTCCAATCCCCTCCACTGCTTTCCACGCCACTCCACTTCACCCCATTCCATTCCACTCTACTCTACGCCATTCCACTCCTTTTCATTCCATTCCACTCCTTTCCTCTCCACTGCACTTCATTCTATTCCACTCCTTTCCATTTCAATATTTTCTTTTGACAGGATCTCACTCTGTCACGCAGGATGGAGTGCAGTGGCACACTCTCAGCTCATATTTCATTTCACCATTCCATTTTATTCCACTCGCCTCCATTCCATTCCATTCCACTCCACTCCAATCCTCTCCATTTTACTTCCCTCCACTCCATTCCATTCCATTCTACTCCATTCCGTTACATTCATTTATTTTGACTGGATCTCACTCTGTCACCCAGACTGAAGTGCAGTGGCAAAATCTTAGCTCACATTTCATTTCACCATTCCATTCCATGCAATTACAGTCCATTCCAATACATTCCATTCCTTTCCATTCCATCACACTCCACTCCACGCCACTCCATTTCAGTCCACTATGATACATTGGACTCCAAACATTCCATTCCACTCCATGCCCTTCCATTCCATTTCATTCCACTTCACTCCACAGCACTCCACTCCACTCAATTCAAGTCCACTCTACTTCACTCCACTCCACTCCGTTCCAATCCATTCCACACCACTCCTTTGCATTCCACTCTACTCCATACCATTCCACTCCATTCCACTGCACTCCACTACATTCCTTTCGACTCCATTTTATTCCATTCCATTCCATTCATTTCCATTCCATTCCATTCCACTCTGTTCCATTCCATTCCATTCCGTTCCAATCCATTCCATTCCATACCATCCCATTGCACTCCATTCCACTCCATTCCATTCCATTCAACTACATTCCACGCCACTCTATTCCCTCCCATAGCATTCCATTCCATTCCACTCCACCTCACTCCATTCCACTCCACTCCACTCCATTCTACTCCATTCCACTCCACTCCACTCCACTCCATACTATTCCTCTCCACTCCACTCCATTCCACTCGATTCCGCTCCATTCCTCTCCACTCCACTCCATTACACTCCATTCTACTCCACTCCACTCCATTCCATTCCATTCCATTCCATTCCACTACTCTCCATTCCATTACACTCCACTCTATTCCATTCCATTCCACTCCGTTCAACTCCATTCTATTCCATTCCTTTCCATTCCACTCCACTCCAATCCACTCGATACCACTCCACTCCATTCCATACCATTCCACTTCATTCAACTCCATTACACTCAACTCCATTCGACTCCACTGCAATCCATTCCATTCCACTCCACTCAAATCCATTCCACTCCCCTCAACTCCATTCCACTCCACTCTCTTCCATTTCACTCCAATCCATTCCATTATGTTCTACTCCAACCTACTCTATTCCATTCCATTTCATTCCATTCCACTCCCCGCCACTGCACTCATTTCCATTTCATTCCATTCCACTCCATTCCACTCCACGCCTCTCCACTTCTCTCCACTCCATTCAATTCCATTCCATTGCATTCCACTCCTTTCCACTCCACTCCATTCCACTTTACTCCATTGCATTCTGTTCCACTCCACTCCATTCCATTCCATTCCACTGCAACCCATTCCATTCCTCTCCATTCTTTTCCACTCCAGTCCATTCCACTCACCTACATTTAACTCCATTCCACTCCATTCCACTCCACTACACTCCTCTTCACTCCTCTCCATTCCATTTTTCTCCTTTCCTTTCCAATCCACCCCATTCCATTCCATTCCACTCCACTCCATTCCAGTCCACTTTTTTCCACTCCACTCCACTACATTCCGTTCCACTCCAGTCTACTCCAGTACACTCCACTCCACTCCATGTCACTCAACTACACTATTTTATATCCAATTCCATTTCACTCTATTCCACTCCTCTCCCTTCCACTGCCCTTCACTCCACTCCATTAAACTACATCCTGTTCCATTCCCCTCCATTCCAATGCACTCCACTTCTCCCCACTCCACTCCACTTCATTCCTTTTCATTCCACCCCATTACATTCCTCTCCATTGCATTACAATCCACTTCAGTCCTCTCCACTCCACTCCAGTCCACTCCTTTCATTCCATTCCGTTCCATTCCATTCCATCCCATACATTCCACTCTATTCCATTCCATTCCTTTCTTTAGAAAGTATCTCACCCTGTCACACAGCCTGGATTTCAGTGGCACAATCTCAGATCCCATTTCATTTCACCATTCCATTCCATTCCATTCCATATCATTCCATTCCACTCCACTGCACTCCACTCCACTCCACTCCACTCCATTCCATTCCAATCCACACCTTTCCATTCCATCTCATTCCATTCCTCTCCTTTCCACTCCACTCCACTCCACACCACTCCTGTCCATTCAATTCCACTCCATTCCGTTCCGTACATTTATTTTGACAGGATCTCACTCTGTCTCCCAGGCTGGTGTGCAGTGGCACAATCTCAGCTCACATTTTATTTTGCCATTCCATTCCATTCCATTCAGTTTCA
>NC_000024.10:10986677-11002276 GCF_000001405.40 Homo sapiens
CTCCACTCCACTCCAATCCTTTCCATTCAATTCCATTCCAATCCCTTGCATTCCACTCCTTTCTTTCGAAAGGATCTCCCTCTGTCACACAGGCTGTAGCACAGTGACACAATCTCAGCACACATTAATTTCACCATTCCATTCCATTCCATTCCATTCCGCTCCATTCCATTCCATTCCACTCCACTCCACTCCTTTCCACTCCACTCCACTCCATTCCATTCCACTCTACTCCACTCCACTACACTCTATTTCATTCCATCCCTTTCCATTCCACTCCTATCCAATCCACTCCTCTCCATTCCATTCCATGCCACTGCATTCCATTCTAATATTTTCTTTTGACAGGATATCTCTGTCACCCAGGCTGGAGTGCAGTGGCACAATCTCAGCTCACATTTCATTTCATCATTCTATTCCATTCCATTCCATTCCATTTCCCTAAATTCCATTCCTTTCCACTCCACTCCACTCGACTACTCTCCTCTCCACTCCATTCCATTCCATTCCATTCCATTCCATTCCATTCCATTCCATTCCATTCCACTCCATTCCATTCCACTCCTTTTTTTCGACTGGATCTCACTCTGTCACCCAGACTGGAGTGCAGTAGCTCTATCTTAGCTCATATTTCATTTAACTATTCCGTTCCATTCCATTCCATTCCGTTCTAGTCAATTTCATTCCAGTACACTCCACACCACTCCACTCCATTCCATTCCACTCCATTCCACTCCACTCCACTCCATTCCCTTCTACTCCATTCCATTCAATTCCCTACCATTCCATTCCATTCCACTCCACTCCAGTCTACTCCACTTCACTACATTCCATTCTATTCCATTCCATTCCATTCCACTCCACTCCACTCCTCTCCACTCCATTCCACTAAATTCCACTCTGCTGCATTCCATTCTACTCTACTATAATACACTCTACTCCATGCCACGCCACTCCACTCCACTCAAATGCATTCCACTCCATTGTACTCAATTCCTCTCCACTCCCCTCAACTCCAATCCATTGCACTCCATTCTACTTCATTTCATTCCATTCCATTCCACTTCACTCCATTACATTCCATTCCACTCTACTCCATTCCATTCCATTCCATTCCATTCCCCTCCACTCCATTCCATTCCATTCCATTCCATTCCATTCCATTCCATTCCATTCCATTCCATTCCACTCCACTCCATTCCATTCCATTCCACTCCACTCCTCACCACTCCACTCCACTCCATTCCATTCCATTCCTTTCTCTTCCAATCCATTCCACTCTGCTCCACCCCACTCCACTCCATTCCACTCAAATCAATTCCATTCCACTCCATTCCACTCCATTCCACTCCACTCCATTCCAGTCCACTCCATTCCTCTTCACTCTACTCCATTCCACTCCACTTAATTCCACTCCAGTCCACTCTAGTCCAATCCCTTCCACTCCAATCCACTCCTCTCAATTTCATACCCCTGCACTCCATTCCATTCCACTGCACTCCAATCCACTACACTCAACTCTACTCCACTCCACTCCTCTAGGCTCTGTTTGGTTCCATTTGTTTTCTTCTGTTCCTTTCAACTTCAATCCACTCCATTCCTTCCCCCTCAACTACATTCCATTACATCAGATTCCATTTCACACCATTCCACTCCTCTCCACTCCACTCCACTCCATTCCATTCCATACCACTGCATTCCATTCCAATATTTTCTTTCGACAGAATCTCACTCTGCCACCCAAGTTGAAGCGCAGTGGCACAATCTCAGCTCACATTTCATTTCACCATTCCATTCTCCTCCATTCCATTTCATTCCACTCCACTCCACTCCTCTCCATTACACTCCACTCCACTCCATTTTATTCCACTCCACTTCATTCCATTCCACTCCATTCCATTCCACTCTATTCCATTTCATTCCACTCCACTCCACTCCACTCCATTCCACTCCACTCCACTCCATTCCATTCTACTCCATGCCATTCCATTCCACTCAATTGAATTCGACTTCATTCCATTCCAGTCCACTCCACTCCACTCGACTCCATTTCAGTCTGCTCCATTCCATTCCATTCCACTCCATCCCATTCCATTTGACTCCATTCCACTCCACTTCACTACATTCTACTCCACTCCACTCCACTCCACTCCACTCCACTCCACTCTACTCCACTCTATTCCATTCCATTCCATTCCATTCCATTGCATTCCATTACTTTCTTTTGGCAGGATATCACTGTGTCACCCAGGCTGAATTGCAGGTTTACAATCTCAGCTGACATTACATGTCTTCTTTCCATTGCATTGCATTGCATTCCATTCCATTCCATTTTATTTCATTCCATTCCATTGCATACCATTCCATTCCATTCCACTCCATTCAGTTCCACTCCACTGCACTCCAATCCACTCCACTCCACTCCACTCCACACCACTGAACTCCACTCCACTCCACTCCATTCCATTCCACTCCACTCCATTTCACTCCACTCCACTCCATTCCACTCCTCTCCATTCCATGCCATTCTACTGCAGTCCACTCCACTCCATTCCACTCCACTCTCCACCATTCCATTTTATTCCTCTCCTTTCCACTTTTCTCCACTCCATTCAATTCGACTCCACTGCAGTCCACTCAACTCCACTACATTCCACTCCACTCCACTCATTTCCAATCATACCATTCCATTCCAGTCCACTCCACTCCATTCCATTACACTCCATTCGACTCCATTCCATTCCATTCCACTTCATCCACTCCATTCCATTCCACTCCACTCCATTCCACTCCTCTCCACTCCATTCCACTCCCTCCGCTCCATTCCTTTCCACTCCACTCCTCTCCATTCCACTCCACTCCACTCCATTCCACTCCTCTCCACCCCATTCTACTCCACACCACTCCATTCCGATACACTCCGTTCCACTCCATTCCTTTATATTCCATTCCTTTTCACTCCATTGCATTCCATTCCTTTCTTTTGACAGGATATCGCTGTGTCACCCTTGCAGGAGTGCAGTGACACAATCTCAACTCTGATTACATGTCAACTTTCCATTTCATTGCATTATATTCCATTCCATTCCATACCATTCCACTCAATTCGTTTCCACTCCACTCCACTGCAATCTACTCCACACCACTCCACTCCATGCTGCTCCATTCCACTCCACTCCTCTCCACTCCATTCCATTCCACTCCATTCCACTCCACACCATTCCATTCCATTCCACTCCACTCTCTTACACTCCACTCCACTCCATTGCACTCCACTGCATGCCATTCAACCCCACTCCAATCCAATCCACTCCACCTCTTTCCACTCCTCTCCATTCCACTCCACTACACTCCAGTCCTTTCCATTCCACTCCGTTCCTCTCTATTCCACTCCATTCCACAACACTCTACTCCACTCCACTCCACTCCACTCCACTCCACTCCACTCCACTACATTCCATTCCTTTCCATTCCATTCCATTTCACTCCATTGCATTCAATTATTTCTTTGGACAGGATATCACTGTGTCACTTAGGCTGGATTCAAGTGGCACAATCTCAGCTCACATTACGTGTCAGCTTTCATTGCATTGCAGTCTATTCCATTTCATTCTCTTCCATTCCATTCCTTTCCATTCCACTCTCTTCCACTCCACTCCACTCCACTACATTCCATTACATCCGAGTGCATTCCACTCCATTCCATTCCTCTCCAATGCACACCACTCCACTCCATTCCACTCGATCCCATTCAATTATGCTCCATTCCACCTCATTCCCCTACACCCCACTCCACTCCACTTCGGTCCATTCCATTGCATCCCATTCAATTCCTCTCCATTTCACTCCACTCCACTTCTCTCCACTTCACTGCACTCTTGTCCAATCCATTCTATTCCATTCCACTGCATTCCATTAAATTCCTTTCCCTCAAGAGTATCTCACTTTGAAACCCTGCCTGGAGTGCAGTGGCACAATCTCCGTTCCCATTTCATTTCACGATTCCATTCCATTCCATTCCACTCCACTCCAATCCATTCCATTCCACTGCACTCCCTTCCATTCCAGTCCACTCCACTTCTTTCCATTCCGTCACACACCAATCCACTCCTTTCCACTCCACTCCCCTCCATTCCATTCGATTGCACTCCATTCCATTCCATTCCTTTATTTTGATTGGATCTCACTCTGTCACGCAGGCTGGTGTGCAGTGGCACAATCTCAGCTAAGATTTCATTTCACCATTCGTTTCCATTCCATTCCATGGCACTTCACTCCACTAGAATCAATTTTACTCCATTCCTCTCCACTCCAAACCATTCCCTTCCATTCCATTCTAATCCATTCCACTCCACTACCCTCCACTCCACTCCACTCCATTCAACTACACTACATTCCACCTCACTCCATCCCATTCCACTCCACTCCATTCCACTCCACTCCGCTATAGTCCCCTCTAATCCACTCCACTCCACTCCATTCCGTTCTACTCCACTCCATTCCATTCCCCTCTGATCCCCTCCACTCCACTCCATTCCATTCCATTCCATTTCGTTCCGTTCCATTCCATTCCATTCCATTCCATTCCATTCCATTCCATTCCATTCCATTCCTTTCCTTTCCACGGGATCTCACTCTGTCTAAAATTCTGGAGTTCAGTGGTACAATCTCAGCTAACATTTATTTTCACCATTCCATTTCTTTCAATTCCTTCCCAGTCCATTCCACTCTATTTCACTCCACTCCTCTCCACTCCACTCCATTCCATTCCTCTTCATCCCATTCCATTCAACTCCACTCCAATCCACTCCACTCCATTCCATTCCATTCTATTTCCCTCCATTACATTGCATTCCTTTCTTTCGACGGGATATCACGGTGTCACTGAGGCTGGAGTGCAGTGGCACAATCTCAGCTCTCATTACATGTCAACTTTCAATTGCATTGCATTCTATTCCATTGCATTTCATTGCGTTCCATTCCATTCCATTCCAGTGCATTCCATTACATTCCATTACATTCCTGTTCATTCAATGCCATTCCTTTCCACTCCATTCTACTCCACTCCACTCTACTACATTACATTACATGCAATTCCATTCCTCTCCATTCCCCTCCTCTCCACTCCACAGCCCACCACCCCACTCCATTGCACTGCCTCCCATTCCTTTCCACTCCATTCTACTGCAATCCACTCCACCCCACTCCACTCCACTTCATTCCATTTCATCCCATTCCATTCCAATCCCTTCCATTCCACTCCTATCTTTCGACAGGATCTCTTTCTGTCACACAGTCTGTAGCGTAGTGACACAATCTCAACACACATTTCTTTTAACCATTCCATTCCATTCCTTTCTATTCCATTCCATTCCATTAGATTACATTACATTACATTACACTCCACACCACTCCAGTCCACTCCACTCCACTCCACTCCACTCCTGTCCATTCCATTTCACTTCACTCCACTCTAAACATTGCACTGCACTCCACTCCTCTCCAATACATTCCACTCCATTCTATCCCACTCCACTCCACTCCACTCTGTTTCACTCCACTCCATTCCAATCCACTCCACTCCATTCCATTCCACTCCACTCCACTCCATCCATTCCACTCCACTCCATTCCATTAAATTCCATTCCATTCCATTTCACTCCACTCCACTCCACTCCACTCCATTCCATTCCACTCCACTCATCTCCACTCCTTTCCTTTCCATTCTATTCCATTACATTGCACTTCATTACTTTCTTTTGACAGGATATCACTGTGTCACTCAGGTTGGAGTGCAGTGGCACAATCTCAGCTCACATTACATGTCAACTTTTCTTTTTATTGCATTCTATTCAATTACATTCCATTGCATTCCATTCCATTCCATTCCATTCCATTCTATTCCATTCCACACCATTCCACTCCACTCCACTCCCCTCAGCTACATTCCATTGCATCCGATTCCATTCCATTCCATTCCACTCCTCTCCCCTCCACTGCACTTCACTACACTCCATTCCACTCCATCCCATTCCATTCGGCTCCATTCCACTGCACTCCCCTCCACCCCAATCCACTCCACTTAAATCCATTCCATCCCATTCCATTCCTCTCGATTCCACTCCAATCCACTTCACTCCACTCCACTCCAATCCAGTCCACTCCATTTCATTGCATTCCATTCCATTCCACTCCATTTCATTCCATTCCTTTCTTTCAAGAGTATCTCACTCTGTCACCCATACTGGAGCACAGTGGCAGAATCTCACCTCACATTTCATTTCACCATTCCATTCCATTCCATTCCATTCCATTCCATTCCATTCCATTCCATTCCACTGCACTCCACTCCAATCCACTCCAGTCCACTCCGCTCCACTCCACTCCACTCCTTTCCATTCCATTTCACTTCACTCCATTCTACTCATTCCACTCCACACCACTCCACTCCCATCCATTCCACACCATTTCATCCCACTCCACTCCACTGCACTTCACTCCATTCCACTCCAATCCACTTCACAGCATTCCACTCCACTCCACTCTATTTCACTCCACTCCATTCCATTCCACTCTACTCCACTTCACTCCATTCCAAACCCTTCCACTCCACTGCACTCCACTCCATCCATTCCACTTCACTCCATTCCACTCCATTCCATTCCACTGCATTTCATTCCACTCCACGCACCTTCACTCCACTCCATTCCATTCCACTCCATTCCGTTCCATTTTTTTTCTTTCCACAGCATCTCTCTCTGTCACAAAGGCTGCAGTGCAGTGGCACAGTCAGCTTCATTTCTTTTCACCATTCCATTGCATTCCATTCCATCCCTTTCCATTCCACTCTATTTCACTCTACTCCACTCCACTCCATTCCATTCCATTCTATTACATTCCATTTCACTCCATTGAATTTCATTCCTTTCTTTCAACAAGATATTACTGTGTCACCCAGGCTGGAATGCTGTGGCACAATCTCAGCTCACATTGCATGTCAACTTTCCGTTGCATTGCATTCTTTCCATTCCATTCCATTCCACTCCGTTCCAGTCCACTCAACTCCACTCCACTACATTCCATTATATATGATTCCATTATACTCTATTCCACTACTCTCCACTCCGCTGCACTTCACTCCACTCCACTGTACTCCATCCCATTCCATTGCGCTCCACTCCCCTGCACTCCAATCCACCCCACTCCACTTCATTACATTCCATTTCACCTCATTCCATTCCGCTCCATTCCACCCTACTCCACATCACTCCTCTCCCCTCCAACCCACTCCATTTCATTCCATTGCATTCAACTACATTCCATTCCATTCCTTTCTTTCGAGAGTATCTCACTCTGTCACCCAGTCTGGAGCACAATGGCAGAAACTTAGCTCACATTTTATTTCACCATTCCATTCCATTCAATTCCATTCCGTTCCACTCCACTCCACTCCACTCCATTCCAATCCATTCCACTCCACTCCACTCCACTCCATTCCAGTCTACTCCACTTCATTCTATACCATCCCATTCCATTCCCCTCCTTTCCACTCCACTCCACTCCAGTCCATTGCATTCCATTACACTCCATTCCATTCCATTCCATTCCTTTCTTTTGACAGGATCTCACTCTGTAACCCAGGCTGGTGTGCAGTGACACAATCTCAGCTCACATTTCATTTCATCATTCCATTCCACTGCGTTCCATTCCACTGCACTCCACTCCACTCCACTCCACTCAATTTCACTCCACTCCACTCCCATCCATTCCATTCCATTACATTCTAATCCCTTCTATTCCATTCCCCTCTTTTGACAGGGTCTCCCTCTGTCACGCAGGCTGTAGCATAGTGGCGAAATCTCAGTAAATATTTCTTTTCAACATTGCATTCCACTCCTTTCCATTCCATTCTGTTCTATTCCATTCTGTTCCATTCCATTCTGTTCCATTCCATTCCGTTCCGTTCCATTCCACTCCACTCAACTCCATTCCACTCAACTCCACTGCACTCCACTCCACTCCACTCCATTCCATTCCAATCCATTCAAATCCACTCCACACCACTCCATTCTACTCCCCTCCACTCTACTCCACTCCACTCAATTCCACTGCACTCCACTCCTCTCCATTCCACTCCCCTCCATTTTCCACAACTCCACTCCACTTCATTCTACTCCACTCCACTCCATTCCATTCCATTCCAATTAATTCCATTCCATTCATTTATTTTCGCAAGATCTCACTCGGACACAGAGCCTGCAGTGTAGTTGCACAATCTCGGCTCATATTTCTTTTGACCATTCCATTGCATTCCATTCCATCTCATTCCATTACACTCCGTTTCACTCCTCTCCACTCCATTCCATTCCACTCCATCCCATTCCATTCGAATTCATTCCACTCCACTCCAATCCACTACTATCCAATCCACTACATTCCATTAAATTCGCTTCCATTTCTCTCTATCGATTCCATTCCTTTCTTTCCACAAAATATCACTGTGTCACCCAGGCTGGAAGTGCAGTGGCACAATCTCAGCTCACATAACGTGTCAACTTTCCATTGCATAGCATTCTATTCAATTGCATTCCATGGAATTCCATGGCATTCCATTCCATTGCATTCCATTCCATTCCATTTCATCCCATTCCAATCCATTAGATTCCACTCCATTCCACTCAACTCCACTCCACTACACTACATTCCATTACATCTGATTCCATTCCACTCCATTGTAATCCTCTCCAATCCACTGCACTCCACTCCAATCCATTCCACTCTATCCCATTCCATTATGCTCCAATCCACTGCCCTCCACTCCACACCACTCCAATCCACTTCATCCCATTCCATTCCATCCCATTCCATTCTTCTCCATTCCACTCCCCTCCACTCCACTCTGTTCCACTATATTCCTTTCCACTCCACTCCATTCCACGCCACTCCATTTCACTCCACTGCACTCCACTGCATTCCACTCCACTGCACTCCACTCTACTCCTTTCCACTGCACTCCATTCTATCCCACCTCCACTCCACTCCATTCCACTTCACTTCAATCCACTCTGTTTGAATCCATTCTATTCCACTCCAATCGACTCCACTCCAATCCACTCCACTCCATTCCACTCCACTCCACTCCCTTCCACTCCACTCCACTCCACTCCACTCCACTTCCTTCCATTCCATTCCACTCCATTCCTTTCCTTTCTTTCCACAGGATCTCACTCTGTCACAAAGGCTGGAGTGCACTGGAACAATCTCAGCTCACATTTCTTTTCACAGTTGTATCGCTTTCTATTCCATTCCATTCTATTTCACTTCATTCCACTCCACTCCACTCCTCTTTACTCCAATCCACTACATTCCATTACACTCGATAAGATTCCATTCGACTCCATTCCACTCCACTCCTGTCCAGTCCACTCCACTGCACTCCACTCCACTCCAATCCACTCCATACCACTCCATTCCATTTCATTTCACTCCATTGCATTCCATTCCTTTCTTTCAACAGGATATCACCGTGTCACACAGGATGGAGTGCAGTGTCACAATCTCAGCTCACTTTACATGTCAACTTTCCATTACATTGTATTCTATTCCATTGCATTCCATTGCATTCCATGGCATTCCTTTCCATTCCATTCCATTCAATTCCATTCCATTCTACTCCGTTCCACTCCATTCCACTCCACTACACTACATTCTGTTACATCCGATTCCATTCCACTCCATTCCACACCTCTCCACTCCACTGAACTCCAAGCCTACCCATTCCACTGCATCCCATTCCATTCTGCTATATTCCACTGTACTTCTGTCCACCCCACTCCACTCAACTTCATTCCATTCAATTCCATCCTATTCCATTCTTCACCATTCTACTCCACTCCACTCCTTTCCATTCCACTCCAGTCCTTTCCACTCCACTCCATTCCACTCGACTCAATTCCACTCCACACCACTCCACTCTAATCCATTCCAATCCACTCCATTCAAATCCACTCCGCTCCACTCCATTCCACCCTCCTGCATTCCAATCCAACCCACTCCACTCCATTCCCCTCTGCTCCACTCCCTTCCACTCCTCTCCACTCCACTCCCTTGCAGTCCTCTACACTCTGTTGCACTCTACTCCAATCCACTACCCTTCTGTCCACTCCACTCCACTCCATTATATTCCACCCCACTCCACTCCATTCCATTCCATTAAACTCCATTCCCTTCCATTCCTTTCTTTCCACCGGATCTCTCTCTGTCACAAAGGCTGTAGTGCAGTGGCACAATCTCAGCTCATATTTCTTTATACCATTCCATTGCATTCCATTCCATCCCATTCCATTCCACTCTCTTTCACTCCACTCCACTGTACTCTATCCCATTTAACTCCATCCCATTCCATTCGAATCCATTCCACTACAATCCACTCCACTCCATTCCATTCCATTCCATTCCATTCCATTCCATTCCATTCCATTCCATTCCATTCCATTGCACTTTATTGCATTCCTTTCCTTTCTTTCGACAGGATATCACTGTTTCACTCAGGTTGGAGTACAGTGGCACATTCTCAGTTCACATTAGATGTGAACTTTCCATTTCATTGCATTCTGTTCAATTGCATTCCAATGCATTCCATTCCATTCCATTCCATTCCACTCCTTTCCACTCCACTCCACTGAGGTACGTTCCATTGCATCCGAGTCCATTTCACTCCATTCCAATCCTCTCCACTCCACTACACTCCATTCCACTCCATCCCATTCCATTCAGCTCCATTCTACTGCACTCCAATCCAACCCATTCCACTCCATTTCATTCCATTCCATTCCATCCCATTCCATTCCTCGCCATTCCTCGCCATTCCACTCCAGTCCACTCCACTCCACTCCAGTTCACTCCATTTCATTGCATTCCATTCCATTCCATTCCATTGCATTCCTTTCTTTCGAGAGTATCTCACTCTGTTACCAAGCCTAGAGCACAGTGGCACAATCTCAGCTCGCATTTCATTTCACCATTCCTTTCTGTTCCATTCCATTCCATTCCATTCCATTCCATTCCATTCCATTCCAATACATTCCATTCCATTCCACCCCATTCCATTCCATTCCATTCTATTTCATTCAATTCCATTACATTTGACTCCTTTCCATTCCACTCCACTCCACTCAACTACATTCCATTTCAATCCATTCCACTCCTCTCCAATCCACTCCACTCCACTTTACTCCATTACACTCCATCCCATTCCATTCGTCTCCATTCAACTGCACTCCACTCCACCCCAATCCACTCCACTTCATTCCATTCCATCCCCTTCCATTCCTCTCTATTCCAATCCAATACACTTCACTCCACTCCACTCCACTCCAGTCCACTCCATTTCATTGTTTTCCATTCCATTCCATTCCATTCCACTCCATTCCATTCCATTCCTTTCTTTCTAGAGTATCTCACTCTTTTACCAAGCCTAGAGCCCAATGGCACAATCTCAGCTCACATTCCATTTCTCCATTCCATTCCATTCCATTCCACGCCATTCCAGTTCACTCCTTTCCATTCCCTTCCATCCCTTTCCATTCCACTACTTTCCACTTCTTTCCAGTCCACTCCACTCCACTCTACTCCACTCCACTCCATTCTACTCCACTCAATTCCACTTCGCTCAACTCCACTCCACTAAATTCCACTCCACTCCATTCCATTCCATTCCATTCCTTTCCATTCGATTCCATTCCATTCCATTCCTTTCCATTCCATCCTTTTCACTCCATTGCATTCCTTTCCTTTCTTTTGACAGGATATCACTGTGTCACTCAGGCTTGAGTGCAGTGGCACAAACTCGGCTCCCACTACATATCATCTTTCCATAGCATTGCATTCTATTCAAATGCATTCCATTCCATTCCATTGCATGCCATTCCATTCCATTCCATTTAATTAAATTCCATTCCATTCCTTTCCCCTCCACTCCACTCCACTCCACTACATTTCATTACATCGGATTCCGTTCGATTCCATTCCACTCCTCTCCACTCCACTTCTCGCCACTCCACTCCATTCCACTCCATCCCATTCCATTCTGCTCCATTCCTCTGCACTCCAC
Organism: Homo sapiens; assembly: GCF_000001405.40. Taxonomy (NCBI): domain Eukaryota; kingdom Metazoa; phylum Chordata; class Mammalia; order Primates; family Hominidae; genus Homo; species Homo sapiens. Next base: position 10,998,790 of record NC_000024.10, read on the forward strand.
TCCACCCCACTACACTCCAATTCATTCCATTCCATTCTATCACATTCCTTTCCTCTCCATTCCACTGTACTCCGCTTCACTCCATTCCACTCCACTGCATTCCACTCCATTCCATTCCATTCCATCCCATTCCATTTCACTCCATTGCACTCCATTCCTTTCTTTCATCAGGATATCACTGTTACCCAGGCTTGAGTGAAGTGGCACTATCTCAGCTCACATTTCTTTTCACCATTCCATTCCATTCCTTTCCATTCTGTTCCATTCAATTCCATTCCATTCCACTCCTTTCCACTCCACTCCACTACATTCCATTACACTCCATTCCACTCCTCTCCACTCCACTCTACTCCACTCCACTTCATTCCACTCCATCCCACTCCATTCGGCTCCATTTCACTGCACTCCTCTCCACTCCAATCCATGCCATTTCATTCCATTCCATCCCATTCCATTTCACTACCTTACAATCCATTCCTTTCTTTCAAAAGGATATCATTGTGTCAGCCAGGCTTAAGTGCAGTGGCACAATCTCAGCTCACACTATATATCAACTTTACATTGCCTTGCATTCTATTCCATTGCATTCCATTCCAATCAATTGTATTCCATTCCATTCCATTTCATTCCATTGCATTCCATTCCATTCCATTCCATTCCATTAAATTCAATTAAGTTCCATTCCATTCCGTTCCACTCCACTCCTCTCCACTACATGTCATTTCTTCTGATTCCATTCCACTCCTCTCCACTCCACTGCACACCACTCCACTCCATTCCACTCCATCTCATTCCATTCCACTCCATTCCATTGCACTCCACACCACCCCACTCCACTCCAATTCATTCCATTCCATTCCATCCCATTCCAATCCTCTCCATTCCTCTCTACTCCACTTCATTCTATTCCACTCCACTGCAGTCCACTCCATTCCATTCCATTGCATTGCATTCCATTCCCTTCTTTCGAGGGTATCTCATTCTGTCACCCAGCCTGGAGTGTAGTGGCACAAACTCAGTTTACATTTCATTACCATTCCATTTTACTTCTTTCCATTCCATTCCATTCGATTCCATTCCATTCCATTCCATTCCATTCCATTCCATTCCATTCCATTCCATTCCATTCCATTCCATTCCTTTCCGTTCCATTCCATTCCTTTCCATTCCGTTCCACTGCACTCCAATCCACTCCACTCAATTCCACTACACTCCACCACAATCCATTCCATTCCATTCCATTCCATTCCATTCCATTCCATTTGAATCCCTTCCATTCCACTCCTGTCTTTCGACAGAATCTTCCTCTGTCACACAGGCTGTTGTGTAAAGGCACAATCTCAGCACACATTTCTTTTCACCATTCAATTTCGTTTCATTCTGTTCCATTCCGTTCCGTTCCATTCCGTTCCACTCCACTCCACTCAACTCCATTCCACTCCACTCCACTCCACTCCAGCCCATTCAGTTTCACTCCATTGCATTCCATTCCTTTCTTTGGACAGGATATCACTGTGTCCCCCAGGCTGGAGTGCAGTGGCACAATCTGAGCTCACATTAAATGCCAACTTTCCATTGCATTGCGTTCTATTCCATTGCATTGCATTGCATTCCATTCCATTCCATTCCATTCCATTCCATTCCATTCCATTCCATTCCATTCCACTCCATTCCATTCCAATCCCTTCCATTCCACTCTCCTCCACTCTAATCCACTAAATTCCATTTCATCCGCCTCCCTTCCACTCCTTTCCAGTCCTCTCCACTCCACTGCACTCCTCTCCAATATATTCCACTCCATCCTATTTAATTCTGCTCCATTCCACTGCACTCCACTCCACCCCACTCCACTCCACCTCATTCCATTCCATTCTTTCCAATCCCATTCCTCTCCATTCCACTCCACTCCACTTCATTTCACTCCATTCCCCTCCAGTCCACTTCATTCCATTCCATTCCATCCTATTCCACTCCACCCCACTCCACTCCATTTCATTGCATTCCCTTCAATCCCATTCCTTTCGTCTCCATTCCACTCCACTTCACTCCCCTCTAGTCCAATCCACTCCACTCCACTCCATTCCGTTACATTTCATTCCATTCCATTCCATTCCTCTCCGTTCCACTACACTAAACTCCGCTGCACAACATTCCATTACATTCGATTTCATTCCACTACATTCCACTCCTCTCACCTCCTCTGCACTCCATGCCACTGCATTCCACTTCATCCTTTCCCATTCCGCTCCATTTCACGGCACTCCCCTCCACCCGACTCCACTCCACTTCATTCCATTCCATTCCTTCCCATTCCATTCCACTCCTTTCTACTCCACAACTTTACTCCAGTCCACACTAGTCCACTCCATTCGATTCCGTTCCGATGCACTGCATTCTGTTCCATTCCTTTCTTTCAAGAATATCTCACTTTGTCACCCAGCCAGGAGTGCAGTAGCACAATCTCAGCTAGCATTTCATTTCACCATTCCATTCCTTTCCATTCCACTCCATCAACTCCACTCCACTCCACTCCAATTAATTCCACTCCACTCCATTCCAGTCCACTACACTTCTTTCCATTCCATCCCATTCCATTGCATTCCTTTCCACTCCACTCCAGTCCACTCCATTCCACTCCATTCCATTATACTCCATTCAATTCCATTCCTTTCTTTTGACAGGATCTCACTCTGTCACCCAGGCTCGTGTGCAGTGGCACAATCTCAGCTCACATTACATTTCACCATTCCATTCCATTACATTCCACTGCACTCCACTCCACTCAATTCCACTCCACTACACTCCAATCCATTCCATTCCATTCTGTTCCATTCCATTACTTTCCATTTCATTTCTTTCTTTTCACAGTATGTCCCTCTGTCACACAGGCTGTAGCATAGTGGCAGAGTCTCAGCACACATTTCTTTTCACCATTCCATTCCATTTCATTCTGCTCTATTCCACTGCACTCCACTGCACCCCACTCCACTCCACCCCATTCCCTTCCATTCCACGCCATTCAATTCCATTCCTTTTTTTCCACAGGATCTCACTCTGTCACAAAGCCTGGAGTGCATTGGCACAATCTCAGCTCACATTTCTTTTCACCATTCCACTCCATTCCATTCCATTCCATTCCATTCCATTCCATTATATTCGCCTCTATTTCACTCCACTCCACTCCACTCCACTCCATTCCATTTCACTCCGTTCCATTCCATTCGACTCCATTCCACTGCACTCCACTGCACTGCACTCCATTCCACTCCACTCCACTCCATTCCATTCCTTTCCATTACATTTCATTTCACTCCATTGCATTTCATTCTTTTCTTTTGACAGGATATCACTGTGTCCCCCAGGCTGGAGTACAGTGGCACAATCTCAGCTAACATTACATATCAGCTTTCCATTGCCTTGCATTCTATTACACTGCATTGCATTGCATTGCATTGCATTCCATTCCATTCCATTCCATTCCATTCCA
>NC_000024.10:11003059-11012528 GCF_000001405.40 Homo sapiens
TCCACTCCATTCGATTCCGTTCCGATGCACTGCATTCCATTCCATTCCTTTCTTTCGAGATTATCTCACTCTGTCACCCAGCCTGGAGCGCAGAGGCCCAATCTCTGCTCACATTTCATTTCACCATTCAATTCCATACCATTCCATTCCATTCCTCTCCACTCCACTCCACTCCACTCCAGTCCATTCTACTCCACTCCACTCCATTCCAGGCCACTCCCCTCCTTTCCATTCAATCCCAATCCATTCCACTCCTTTCCACTCCACTACACTGCACTGCACTGCATTCAATTCCATTCCACTCCATTCCATTCTATTCCTTTCTTTTGACAGGATCTCACTCTGTCACTCAGGCTGTTGTGGAGTGGCATCATCTCAGCTCACATTTCATTTTACCATTCCATTCCATTCCATTGCGTTCCATTCCACTGCACTCCAATCCACTCCACTGAATTCCACTCCATTCCACCAAAATTAATTCCATTTCATGGAATTCCAATCCCTTCCATTCCACTCCTTTCTTTCGACAGGATCTTCCTCTGTCACACAGGCTGTAGCATAGAGGCACCATCTCAGCACACATTTCTTTTCTCCATTCCATTCCGTTTCATTCTGTTCCATTCTGTTCCATTCCATTCCGTTCCACTCCACTCAACTCCATTCCACTCCACTCCACTCCACTCCACTCCACTCCACTCCACTCCACTCCACTCCATTCCACTCCACTCCTTTGCATTCCGTTTCACTCCATTGCATTCCATTCCTTTCTTAGGACAGGATATCACTGTGTCACCCAGGCTGGAGTGCAGTGGCACAACCTCAACTCACATGAAATGTCAACTTTTCATTGCATTGCATTATATTCCATTCCATTCCATTCCATTCCATTCAACTCCATTCCATTCCACTCCATTCCTTTCCACTCCACTCCACTCCAATCTACTACATTCCATTTCATCCAACTCCCTTCCACTCCATTCCACTCCTCTCCATTCCACTGCACTCCCCTCGAATATATTACACTCAATCCTATTTAATTCCACTCCATTCCACTGCACTCCACTCCACTACACTTCATTCCATTCCATTCTTTCCCATTCCATTCCTCTCCATTTCTCTCCACTCAACTTCACTCCACACCACTCTAGTCCACTTCATTCCATTCCATTCCATCCTATTCCAATCTACCCCACTCCACTTCATTTCATTGCATTCCCTTCGATCCCATTCCTTTCCTCTCCATTCCACTCCACTTCACTCCCCTATACTCCACTCCACTACATTCTACCCTAATCCCCTCCACTCCACTCCAAGCCACTCCACTCCATTCCATGCCATTCCATTCCATTCCATTCCATTCCATTCCATTCCATTCCATTCCATTCCATTCCATTCCATTCCATTCCATTCCATTCCTTTCTTTCCACCGGATCTCACTCTGTCAAAAAGGCTGGAGTTCAGTGGTATAATCTCAGCTCACATTTCTTTTCACCATTCCATTGCTTTCCATTCCATCACGTTCCATTTTACTCTATTTCACTCCACTCCACTCCATTCCACCCTATTCCATTCCTTTCCATTCGATTTCACACCATTGCATTCCATTCCTTTGTTTCAAAGGGATATCACGGTGTCACCCAGACTGGAGTGCAGTGGCAGAATCTCAGGTCAAATTACATGTGAACTTTCCATTGAATTGAATTCTATTACATTGCATTCCATTCCATTCCATTCCATTCCAGTGCATTCCATTCCATTCCATTCCATTCCTTTTAATTCAATTCCATTCCTTTCCAATCCGTTCCACTCCACTCCAATCCACCCCACTACATTCTATTACATGTGATTCCATTCCACTCCATTCCACTCCTCTCCACTCCACAGCATTCCACTCCACTCCATTCCACTACATTCCATTCCATTCCACTCCATTCCACAGCAATCCTCTCCACCCCACTCCACTCCACTTCATTCCATTTCATCCCATTACATTCCAATCCCTTCCATTCCACTCCTTTCTTTCAACAGGAACTCTCTCTGTCACACAGGCTGTAGCATAGTGGTACAATCTCAACACACATTTCTTTTCACCATTCCATTCCATTCCATTTCATTCCACTCCATTCCATTCCATTCCATTCTATATCGTTCCATTCCATCCACTCTACTCCACTACACCCCAGTCCATTCTGCTCCACTCCACTCCGTTCCCCTCCATTCCGTTCCATTTCATCCACGCTACTCCACTCATTCCACTCCACTCCACTCCAATGCATTCCACTCAACTCCATCCCACTTTGCTACACTCCACTTCATTTCATTCCATTCCATTCTGTCCCATGCCATTCCTCTCCTTTCCACTCCACTCCGCTCCTCTCCATTCCATTCCACTCCACTCCACTCCATTCCATTCCACTGCATTCCACTCCACGCCACTCCATTCCACTCCACTCCATTCCACTCCCTCCACTCCACTCCACTTCACTCCACTCCATTCCATTCCACTCCACTCCATTCAATTCCTTTTTTTTCCACAGGATCTCACTCTGTCACAAATACTGGAGTGCAGTGGCAGAATCTCAGTGCACATTTCTTTTCACCATTCTATTGCATTCCTTTAAAACCCATTCCATTCCACTCTATTTCAGTCCATTCCACTCCAGTACACTCCATTACATTCCACTCCATCCCTTTCCATTAGAATCCATTCCACTCCCCTCCACTCCACTCCACTCCATTGCTTTCCGTTCCATTCCATTTCATTTCACTCCATTGCATTCCAATCCTTTCTTTCAACATGCTGTCACTGTTTCACCCAGTCTGGAGTGCAGTGGCACAATCTCAGCTCACATTACATGTCAACTTACCTTTGCATTACATTCTATTCCATTGCATTCCACTGCATTCCTTTCCATTCCATTCCATTTCACTCCATTCAACTCCACTCCACTCCAGTCCATTACATTCCATTACATCAGATTCCGTTGCACTCCGTTCCACTCCTCTCCACTCCACTGCACTCCACTCCATTCCATTCCATTCCATTCCATTTCCTTCCACTCCATTCAACTTCACTCCACCCCACCCCACTCCAATTGATTCCATTCCATTCTGTCCCGTTCCAATCCTCTCCATTCCACTCCACTCCACTTCACTCCACTCCTCTCCAGTCCACTCCATTTAATTCCATCCCCTGGGATTCCATCAGATTCCTTTCTTTCGAGGGTATCTCACTCTTTCAACCACCCTGGAGCGATGTGGCACAATCTCAGCTCACATTTCATTTCACCATTCTATTCCATTACATTACATTCTATTCTGTTCCACTCCACTCCACTCCATTTCACTCCACTCAACTCAACTCCACTCCACTCCATTACACTACACTACACTCCATTCCACTCCACTGCACTGCACTCCACTCCATTCCATTCCATTTCACTCCATTGCATTCCATTCCTTTCTTTAGACAGGATATCACTGTGTCACCGAGGCTGGAGTGCAGTGGCACAATCTCAGCTCACATTACATGTCAACTTTCCTTTCCATTGCGTTCTAGTCCAATGCATTCCATTCCATTCCATTCCATTCCACTCCGTTCCATTCCACTCCACTCCACTCCAATCCACTACATTCCATTTCATCCAACTCTCTTCCACTCCATTCCACTCCTCTCCACTCCAGTGCGCTCCACTCCAATATATTCAACTCCATCCTATTTAATTCTGCTCCATTCCACTTCACTCCATTCCACCCCACTCCACTCTACTTCATTCCATTCCATTCCTCTCCATTCCACTCCACTCCACTTCACTCCACTCCACATCAGTCCACTTCATTCCATTCCATTCCATCCCATTGCACTCCAACCCACTCTACTCCTCTTCAATGCATCACCTTCCATCCCATTTCTTTCCTCTCCATTCCACTCCAGTTCAATCCACTCTACTCCACTCCACTCTACTTCCCTCCTCTCCACTCCACTCCATTCCATTCCATTCCTTTTTTTTCACATGACCCCGCTCTGTCAAAAAGGCTGTAGTTCAGTAGTACAATCCCATCTCACATTTCTTTTCACCATTCCATTGCTTTCCATTCCATCCCATTCCATTCCACTCTATTTCACTACATTCCAATCCATTTCATTCCACTCCATCCCACATCTTTCAACTCCACTCCACTTAATTCCATTCCATTCCATCACATTCCATTCCACTACACTCCCTTCCACTCCCCTCCACTCCCCTCCACTCCCCTCCACTCCACTCTATTCCACTCCGATCCACTCCACTCCAGTCCACTCCATTCAATTCCATTTCAGTCCACTCCTCTCTACTCCATTCCACTCCACTCCATTCCACTCCACTGAATTCCCCTCCACTCCACTCCATTCTACTCCATTCCACTTCATTCTATTCCACTCCACTCCACTCCAATCCACTCCTTTCCACTCCATTCCACTCCACTCCATTCCATGCCACTCCACTCCATTCCATTCCTTTCTTTCCACAGGATCTCACTCTGTCACAAATGCTGGAGTGCAGTGGCACCATCTCAGCACATTTCTTTTCACCATTCTGTTGTATTCCTTTCCATCCCATTCCATTCCACTCTGTTTCACTCCATTCCACTCCACTCCACTCCATTCGGTTCCACCCCATACCTTTCCTTTCGACTCCATTCCACTCCACTCCACTCCACTCCATTGCATTCCATTCGTTTCCATTCCATTTCACTCCATTGCATTCCATTCCTTTCTTTCGACTAGCTATCACTGTGTCACCCAGGCTGGAGTGCAGTGGCACAATCTCAGCTCACATTACATGTCAACTTTCCATTGCATTGCATTCTCTTCCGTTGCCTTCCACTACATTGCATTCCATTCCAGTCAATTCCATTCTATTCCACTCCATTCCACTCCACTGCACTACACTGCAGTACATTCCATTCCATTCATTCCATTCTACTCCATTCCACTCCACTGCACTCCACTCCACTACATTCCATTACATCTGATTGCGTTCCACTCCATTCCACTCCTGTCCACTCCACTGCACACCACTCCCCTTTGTTCCATTCCATTCCGCACCATTCAAGTGCAGTCCACTCCACCCCACTCCATTCCACTTCATTCCATTCCAATCCATTCAGTCCCATTCCATTCCTCTCCATTCCACTCCACTCCATTTCACTCTCCTCCACTATTCTTCAGTCCACTCCATTCCATTTCATTCCACGGCATTCCATTCCATTCCTTTCTTTCTAGGGTATCTCACTCTATCAACCAGCCTGGAGCACTGTGGCACAATCTCAGCTCACATTTCGTTTCACCATTCCATTCCATTCCACTCCTCTCCACTCTATTCCACACTTCTCCACTTCATTCCATTTCATCCCATTCCATTCCTCTCCATTCCACTATAGTCCACTTCACTCCACTCCACTAAAATCCACTCCAATCCATTCCATACCATTCCATTCCACTGCACTCCATTCTACTCCACTCAATTCCTCTCCGCTCCACTCCAATCTATTTCATTCCATTCCATTTCAATCCCTTCTATTCCACTCCTTCCTTTTGACAGGATCTCCGTCTGTCACACAGGCTGTAGCGTACTGGCACAATCTCAGCACACATTTATTTTCACCATTCTCTCCCATTCTCTTCCATTCCATTGCATTCCATTCCGTTCCATTCCATTCCATTCAATTTCGTTCCACTCCACTCCACTCCACTCAACTCCATTCCACTTCACTGCACTTAACTCCACTCCATTCCATTCCACTTCACTCTATTCCAATGCACTCTAATCCTCTCCACTCTATTGCACTCAACTCCATTCCACTCCACTGCCCTCCCCTCCACTCCATTCCACTCCACTCAATTCCAATCCATTCCACTACAATCCACTTCCACTCCACTACAATCCACTCCATTCCACTCCACTCCATTCCACTCTACTCCACTACAATCCACTCCATTCCACTCCAGTCCATTCCACTCTACTCCACTACAATCCACTCCATTCCACTCCACTCCATTCCATTCCACTGCATTCCATTCCATTCCTCAGCATTCCATTCCAATCCTTTCTCTCGACAGTATCTCACTCTGTCACCCAGCCAGGAGTTCAGTAGCACAATCACAGCTCACATTTCATTTCATCATTCCATTCCTTTTCATTCCATTCGTTCAATTCCATTCCATTCCACTTCACTGCACTCCACTCCATTCCACTCCACTCCACTCCACTTCCCTCCGTTCCACTCCAATCCATCCCACTCCACTCCACTATATTCCATTCTGTTCCACTCCATTCCATTCCTTTCTTTCCACAGGATCTCACTCTGTCACAAAGGCTGATGTGCAGTGGCTCAATCTCAGCTCAGATTTCTTTTCACCATTCCATTCCATCTTATTCCTTTCCACTCCATATCACTCCACTCCCATCCTCTCCACTCCGTTCCATTCCACTACTTCCCATTCCATCTGACTCCATTCCACTTCACTCCACTCCATTCCATTACTTTCCATTCCGTTCTATTTCACTCCATTGCATTCCATTCCTTTCCTTTGACAGGATATCACTGTGTCAGCCAGGCTGGATTCAAGTGACACAATCTCAGCTCACAGTACACGTCAGCTTTCCATTATATTGCACTCTCTTCCATTTCATTCAATTCCATTCCATTCTAGTCCATTCCATTCCATTCCACTCCATTCCATTCCATTCCACTCCATTCATTCCATTCCATTCCATGCCATGCCATGCCATTCCATGCCATGCCATGCCATTCCATGCCATTCCACTCTGTTCCACTCTATTCCACTACACCACACCACATTCCGTTACATCAGATTCCATTCCACTCCATTCCACTCCTCTCCACTCTACTGAACTCCACTCCACTCCATTCCACTCGATCCCATTCAATTCCACTCCATTCCCCTCTACTCCCCTCCACCCCACTCCACTCCACTTCAATCCATTTCATTTCATCCCATTCTATTCCTCTCCATTTCACTCCACTCCACTGCACTCCTGTCCACTGCATTCCATTCCATTTCACTGCTTTCCATTCCATTCCTTTCCCTCGAGATTATCTCACTCTGTCACCCAGCCTGGAGCACAGTGGCACAATCTCAGTCCCATTTCATTTCAACATTCCATTCCATTCCACTCCAATCCACTCCACTCCAATCCATTCCACTCCACTCCACTCCTCTCCATTCTAGTCCACTCCACTTCTTTCCATTCCATCTAATTCCAATCCACTCCTTTCCACTCCACTCCACTCCCTCCATCCCGTTCCATTCCACTCCATTCCATTCCATTTCTTTATTTTGACAGTATCTCACTCTGTCACCCAGGCTTGTGTGCAGTGGCACAATCTTAGCTCACATTTCGTTTCATCATTCCATTCACTCCACTCCAATCAATTTTACTCCACTCCACTTCAAACCATTTCATTCCATTCCATTCAAATCCACTCCACTCCAGTCCGCTCCATTCAACTACACTCCACTCCACTTCACTCCATCCCATTCCACTCCACTCCATTGTACTCCACTCCACTCCAGTCCCCTCTAATCCACTCCATTCCACTCCATTCCATTCCACTCCACTCCACTTCATTGACTCCACACAACAGCACTCCATTCCACTCTACTCCCCTCTACTCCACTCCACTCCACTCCATTCCATTTCATTCCGTTCCATTCCATTCCTTTCTTTCCACAGGATCTCACTATGTCAAAAAGGATGGAGTTCAGTGGTACAATCTCAGCTCACATTTTTTTCACCATTCCATTGCTTTCCATTTCATCCCATTCCATTCCACTCTATTTCACTCCACTCCACTCCACTCCTTTCCATTCCACTCCATTGCATTCCATTCTATTGGATTTCACACCATTGCATTCCATTCCTTTCCTTAGACTGGATATCATGGTGTCACCCAGGCTGGAGTGTAGTGGCACAATCTCAGCTCGCATTACATGTCAACTTTTCATTGCATTGCATTCTATTCCATTGCATATCATTGCAATCCATTCCAATGCATTCCATTCCATTCCATTCCTTTTCATTCAATTCCATTCGTTTCCACTCCATTCCACTCCACTCCACTCCATTCCACTACTTTCCATTACATGTGATTCCATTGCACTCCATTCCACTCCTCTCTACTCCACAGCACTCCACTCCACTCCATTCCACTACATCCCATTCCATTCCACTCCATTCCACTGCAATCCACAGCAACGCACTCCACTCCACTTCATTCCATTTCATCCCATTCCATTCCATTCCCTTCCATTCAACTCCTTTCTTTCGACAGGATCTCTCTCTGTCACACAGGCTGTAGCGTAGTGGCACAATATCAACACACATTTCTTTTCAACATTCCATTCCATTCCATTCCATTCCATTCCATTACATTCCATTCCATTGCATTCCATTACATTACATTACATTACACTCAACTCCACTCCAATCCAGTCCACTCGCCTCCAATCCAATCCATTCCACTCCACTCCATTCCATTTCACTCCACTCAACTCTATTCATTCCACTCCACTCCACTCCAATCCAATCCATTCCACTCCACTCCATCCCACTCCACTCCACTCCACTCTGTTCCAATCCATTCCACTCCATTCCACTCTATTCCAGTCCACTCCACTGTTTCACTCCACTGCATTCCAATCCACTCCACTCCAGTCCACTTCACTCCATTCCATTCCACTCCACTCCATTCCACTTCGCTCCACTCCACTCCACTCCTTTCCAATCCATTCCATTGCATTCCATTACACTCAACTGCATTCCATTCCTTTCCATTCCTCTCCACAAACCTCCACTCCACTCCATTCCATTCCATTCCACTCCATTCCATTCCTTTCTTTCCACAGGATCTCTCTCTGTCACAAAGGCTGGAATGCAGTGACACAATCTCAGCTCACATTTCTTTACACCATAACATTGCATTCCTTCCCATCCCTTTCCATTCCACTCTATTTCACGCCACTCCACTCCACTCCATTCTATTACATTCCATTTCACTCCATTTAATTTCATTCCCTTCTTTTGACAGGATATCACTGTGTCCCCCAGGCTGGAATGCAGTGGCAAAATCTCAGCTGACATTACATGTCAACTTTCGATTGCATTTCATTGCTTCCGTTGCATTCCATTGCATTCCTTTCCATTCCATTCCCTTCCATTCCATTCCATTGCATTCCATTCCATTCCATTCCATTCCATTCCATTCCATTCCTTTGCACTCCATTCCACTTCACTCAACTCCACTCCACTACATTCCATTATATATTATTCCATTACACTCCATTCCACTCCTCTCTACTCCACTGCACTTCACTCCACTCCAATCCACTCCATCCCATTTCACTCCTCTCCATTGCCCTACACTCCAGTCCACCCCACTCCTCTCCACTTCATTCCGTTCA
>NC_000024.10:11013046-11016992 GCF_000001405.40 Homo sapiens
ACTCCACTCCACTCCACTCCAATCCACTCCATTACATTCCATTACATTCCATTCAACTACATTCCATTCCATTCCTTTCTTTTGAGAGTATCTCACTTTGTCATCCAGGCTGGAACTTAATGGCACAATCACAGCTCACATTTTATTTCACTATTCCATTCCATTCCATTCCATTCCATTCCATTCCATTCCATTCCATTCCATTCCATTCCATTCCCTTCCACTAAATTCCCTTCCATTTCTTTCCCTTTAGAGTACCTCACTCTGTCAACCATCCTGGAGCACAGTAGCAAATCTCAGGTCCCCTTTCATTTCACCATTCTATTGCATTCCATTCCACTCCACTCCTCCACTCCACTCCAATCCATTCCACTCCACTCCATTCCTCTCCATTCTAGTCCACTCCACTTCTTTCTATTCCAACTCATTCCAATCCACTCCTTTCCACTCCACTCCACTCCCCTCCATCCCATTCCATTCCCCTCCATTCCATTACATTCCTTTATTTTGACAGGATCTCACTCTGTCACACAGGCTTGTGTGCAGTGGCACAATCTTAGCTCACATTTCATTTCACCATTCCATTCCATTCCATTCAATGGCATTTCGCTTCACTCCAGTCAATTTTATTCCACTCCACTCCACTCCAAACAATTCCAGTCCATTCAATTCCAATCCACTCCACTCAACTCCAGTCTGCTCCATTCAACTCCACTCCACTCCACTTCACTCCATCCCATTCCTCTCCACTCCATTCTCTCCACTCCACTCCAGTCCCCTCTACTCCACTCCACTCCATTCCGTTCCACTCCACTCCACTCCACTTCATTCAACTCCACTCCACTGCACTCCATTCCACTCTACTCCCCTCTACTCCACTCCACTCCATTCCATTCCATTCCATTCCATTCCATTCCTTTCTTTCCACAAGATCTCACTCTGTCATAAAGGATGGATTTCCATGGTACAATCTCAGCTCACATTTCTATTCACTATTCCATTGTGTTCAATTCCATTCTATTCCATTCCATTCCACTCTATTTCCCCTCACTCCACTCCACTCCATTCCATTCCACTCCATCCAATTACATTAGACTCCAATCCACTCCACTCCATTCCACTCCGTTACATTACATTCCATTCGACTTCACACCATTGCATTTCATTCCTTTCTTTCGACGGGATATCACAGTGTCAACCAGGCTGGAGTGCAGTGGCACAATCTCAGCTCGCATTACATGTCATCTTTCTATTGCATTCCATTCTGTTCCGTTGCATTCCATTCCATTCCATTCCATTCCATTCCATTCCATTCCACTCCACTCCATTCCACTCCACTCCACTCCACTCCACTCCACTCCACTCCACTCCACTCCACTCCATTCAATTCCATTCCATTCCATTCCATTCCATTCCATTCCATTCCATTCCATTCCATTCCATTCCATTCCACTCTATTCCATTCCATTCCATTCCACTCTATTCCATTCCATTCCTTTCTTTCGAGAGTATTTCAGTCTGTTACAAAGCCTAGAGTGCAGTGGCACAATCTCAGCTCACATTTCATTTCACCATTCCATTCCATTCCTTTCCATTCTATTCCATTCAATTCCATTCCATTTTACTCCATTCCCTCCACTCCACTCCACTCCACTCCACTACATTCCATTCCACTCCATTGCACTCCTCTCCACTCCACTGCACTCCAGTCCTCTCCATTCCACTCCATCCCATTCCACTCGGCTCCATTACACTGCACTCAAGTCCACCCCAATCCCCTCCACTTCATTCCATTCCATTCCATTCCATCCCATTCAATTTCACTCCATTGCATTCCATTCCTTCCTTTTGACAGGATATCACTGTGTCTCCCAGGCTGCTGCGCAGTGTCACAATCTCAGCTCACATTACATGTCAACTTTCCATTGTGTTGTGTTCTGTTCCATTGCATTCCATTCTATTCCATTCCATTCCATTCCACTCCATTCTGTTCCATTCAATTCCATTCCATTCCACTTCGTTCCACTCCACTCCACTCTACTACATTCGATTACATCCGATTCCATTCCACTTCATTCCACTCCTGTCCACTCCACTGCACTCCACTCCACTCCATTCCATTATATCCCATTCCATTCCACTCCATTCCACTCCACTCCACTTCACTGCACTCCACTCCATCCATTTCACTCCATCCCATTCCATTCGACTCCATTCCACTCCACTTCACTCCATTTCAATCCATTCCACTCCCTTCCATTCCTTTCCATTCCATTTCACTCCTTTGCATTCCATTTCTTTCTTTCGACAGGATAACACTCTTTCCCCCAGGCTGGAATGCAGTGGCACAATCTCATCTCACATTACATGCCAACTTTCAATTACATGGCATTATATTCCATTGCATTCCATTGCATTCCATTCCATTCCATTCCATAGCATTCCATTCCATTCCTTTTTTCGAGAGTATCTCACTGTGTCACCCAGCCTGGAGCGCAGTGGCATAATCTCAGCTCACATTTCATTTCACCATTCCATTCTACTCCATTCCTTTCCATTCCATTGGATTCCACTACACTACACTCCTCTCTTCTCCACTCCAATTGATTCTACTCCAATCCACTCCACTCGATTCCAGTCCACTCCACTCATTTCCATTCCATCCCATTCCATTCCACTCCTTTCCACTCCACTCCACGCTACTCCAGTCCTCTCCATTCCATTCCACTCCATTCCATCCCATTCCTTTCTTTTGACAGGATCTCCCTCTGTCACCCAAGCTGGTGTGCAGTGGCTCAATCTCAACTCAATTTCATTTCACCATTCCATTCCATTCCATTCCATTCCATTCCATTCCATTCCATTCCATTCCACTGCACTCCACTCCATGCCATTCAATTCCACTCCACTCCACTTCAGTACATTCCATTCCATTACATTCCAATCCCTTCTATTCCACTCCTTTCTTTTGACAGGATCTTCTTCTGTCACGTGGGCTGTAGCTTAGTGGCACAATCTCAGCACACATTTTTTTTTTCGCCATTCGATTGTGTTCTGTTCGTTTCCGTTCCATTCCGTTCCATTATATTCTGCTCCGTTCCACTTCACTCCCTTAAACTTCATTCCAATCAATTCCATTCCACTCCGCTCCACTCCACTCCATTCCAGTCTACTCCATTCCACTCCACTCCAATCCAATCCACTCCTCTCCACTCCATTCAATTCCACACGATTCCACTGCACTCCTCTCCACACCACTCCACTCCACTGCACTCCATTCCACTGCACTCCATTCCACTCCACTCCAGTCCACTCCACTCCACTGCCTTCCATTCCACTCCACTCCACTCCATTCCACTGCACTCCATTTCACTCCACTCCCTTCCACTCTACTCCACTCCACTTCATTCCATTCCAAGTCATTCCATTCCATTCCTTTCTTTCCACCGGATCTCTCTCTGTCACAAAGGCTGTAGTGCAGTTGCACAATCTAACCTCTCCTATCTTTACACCATTCCATTGCATTCCATTCCATCCCTTTCCATTCCACTCTATTTCACTCCACTCCACTGCACTCTATCCCATTTCTCTCCATTCCATGCCATTCGACTCCAATCCACTCCACTCCACTCAACTCCATTCCATTCCATTCTATTCCATTCCATTTCACTCCATTGCATTCCCTTCCTTTCTTTTGACAAGATATCACTGTGTCACACAGGTTGGAGTGCAGTGGCACAATCTCAGCTTACATTATGTGTCAACTTACATTTCATTGCATTCTATTCAATTGCATTCCATTGCATTCCATTCCATTCCATTCCATTTTGTTCCATTCCATTTCATTCAATTCCATTCCATTCCACTCCGTTCCACTCCACTCCACTAAACTCAACTACATTCCATTACATCTGATTCCATTCCACTCCATTCTAATCCTCTCCAC
>NC_000024.10:11017247-11023374 GCF_000001405.40 Homo sapiens
TTTCTTTCTAGAGTACCTCACTCTGTTACCAAGCCTAGAGCTCAGCGGCACAATCTCAGCTCACATTTCATTTCACCATTCCATTCCATTACGTTCCATTCTATTCCATTAAACTCCATTCCACTCCACTCCGTTCCACTCCACTCCACTCCACTCAACTACATTCCATTACATCCGATTCCATTCCACTCCATTTCATTCCTCTCCACTCCCCTACACTCCATTTCACTCCATCCCATTCCATTCGGTTCCATTCCACTGCACTCCACTCCAGCCCAATCCACTCCATTTCATTCTATTCCATTCCATTCCATCCCATTCCATTCCTCTCCATTCCACTCCAATCCACATCACTCCACTCCACTCCACTCCATTCGATTCCATTCCAATCCATTCCATTCCATTCCGTTCTTTTGACAGGATCTCACTCTGTCATCCAGGCTGGTGTGCAGTGGCTCAATCCCAGCTCACATTTCCTTTCAGCATTCCATTCCATTCCATTGCACTGCACTCCACTCCATGCCACTCAATTCCACTCCACTCCACTTCAGTCCATTCCATTCCATTACATTCCAATCCCTTCTATTCCCCTCCTTTCTTTTGACAGAATCTCCCTCTGTCACATGGGCTGTAGCTTAGTGGTACAATCTCAGCACACATCTCTTTTCACCATTCCATTGTGTTCCATTCCGTTTTGTTCTATTCCGTTCCATTCCGTTCTGCTTCGTTCCACTCCACTCCCCTACAGTCCATTCCACTCCATGCCACTCCACTCCACTCCATTCCAATCTACTCTATTCCACTCCACTCCACTCCAATCCACTCCTCTCCACTCGATTCCATTCCACGCAATTCCACTGCACTCCACCCCATCCCACTCCACTCCACTCCACTGCACTTCTTTCCACTCCATTTCTGTCCACTCCACTCCACTCCATTGCATTCTATTCCACCCCACTCGAATCCATTCCACTCCACTCCATTTCACTCCACTCCATTCCACTCCACTCCACTCCATTCCACTCCACTCCATTCCATTCAACACCATTCCATTCCATTTCTTTCTTTCCACTGGATCTCTCTCTTTCACAAAGGCTGTAGTACAGGGGCAAAATCTAAGCTTACCTATCTTTACACCATTCCGTTGTATTCCATTCCATCCCATTCCATTCCACTCTCTTTCACTCCACCCCACTCCACTCCACTCTATCCCATTTCAATCCATTCCATGCCATTCTACTCCAATCCACTCCATTCCACTCAATTCCATTCCATTGCTCTCCATTGCATTCCATTCCTTTCTTTCAACAAGATATCACTGTGTCACCCCAGTTGGAGTGCAGTGGCACAATCTCAGCTCACATTACCTGTTAACATTCCATTACATTGCCTTCTATTTAATTGCATTCCTTTGCTTTCCATTCTATTCCATTCCATTCCATTCTAGTCCATTAAATCCCATTCCATTCCACTCCGTTCCACTCCATTCCACTCCACTACATTCCATTGCAATCCATTCCACTCCTCTCCACTCCACTCCACTCCACTCCATTACCCTCCATCCCATTCCTTTCGGTTCCATTCCTCTGCACTCCACTCCACCCCAATCCACTCCACTTCATTACATTCCATTACATCCCATTCCATTCCTCTCCATTCCCCTCCAATCCACTTCACTCCACTCCACTGCTGTCCACTCTATTTCATTGCATTCCATTGCATTCCATTCTAATCCATTCCATTCCATTCCTTTCTTTTGAAAGTATCTCACTCTGTTCCCAAGCCTAGAATGCAGTGGCACAATCGCAGCTTACATTTCATTTCACCATTCCATTCCATTCTATTCCATTAAATTCCATTCCATTCTACTCCTTTCCAGTCCACTCCACTCCACTACATTCCATTCCAATCCATTCCACTCCTCTCCACTCCACTTCACTCAACTCCACTCCATTACCCTCCATCCCATTCCATTCGGTTCCATTCCACTGCACACCATTCCACCCCAATCCACTCCACTTCATTCCATTCCATTACATCCCATTCCATTCCATTCTATTCCATTCATCTCCACTCCATACCAATCCATTCCACTCCATTCCAGTCCACTCCTCTCCATTCCGTTCCATTCCATCCCATTCCATTCCACTCCGTTCCAGTACACTCCATTCCACTCCACTCCACTCCACTCCATTCCACTCCACTCCACTCCACTAAATTCCACTCCACTCCATTCCATTCTATTCCATTTCACTCCATTGCATTCCATTCCTTACTTTAGACAGGATATCATTGTGTCACCCATGCTTGAGTGCAGTGGCACAATCTCAGCTCACACTACATGTCAACATTCCATTGCATTGCATTCTATTGCATTGCATTGAATTCCATTCCATTCCATTCAATTGTATTAAATTCCATTCCGTTCTACTCCACTCCACAATTTTTCATTACTTCTGATTCCATTCCACTCCATTCCACTCCTCTCCACCCCACTGCACACCACTCCACTCCATTCCAGTCAATCCCTTTCCATTCCGCTCCATTCCACTTCACTCCACTCCACCCAACTCCACTCCAATTCATTTCATTCCTTTCCATCCCTTTCCAGTCCTCTCCATTCCACTCTACTCCACTGCACTCCATTCCACTCTACGGCAGTCCACTCCATTAAATTCCATTCCCTTGCATTCCCTTCCTTTCCTTTCTTTTGAGAGTATCTCATTCTGTCACCCAACCTGGAGCGCAATGGCACAAACTCCATTCACATTTCATTACCATGCCGTTCCACTCCATTCCATTCCATTCCATTCCATTTCATACCATTTCATTCCATTCCACTCCTTACCTCTCCACTCCAGTCTACTCCACTCCACTCCATTCCATTCCATTCCATTCTACTCCTTTCCATTCCATTCCTTTCTTTTGACAGGATCTCACTCTGTCATTCATGCTGGTGTGCATTGGCACAATCTCAACTCGTATTTCATTTCACCATTCCATTCCATTCCACTGCACTCCACTCCAACCCACTGAATTCCACTCCACTCCCCTCCACTCCACTCCACTCCATTCCACTCCACTACACTCCCCTACACTCCAATCCACTCCATTCCACTTTACTCCACCCCACTCCTTTACACTACACTCCACTCTACCCCACTTCACTCCAATCCACTCCTCTCCATTCCATTCCATTACACTCCATTCCATTCCATTCTTTCTTTCTACAGGATCTCACTCTGTCACAAATTCTGGAGTGCAATGGCACAATCGCAGCTCACATTTCTTTTCACCATTCCGTTGCAATAAATTCCATTCCATTCCTTTCTTTCTACAAGATCTCACTCTGTCACAAAGGCTGGAATGCACTCTCACAATCTCAGCTCACATTACTTTTCACCATTCCATTCCATTGCATTCCATTCCATCCATTGCATTCCACTCTATTTCACTCCACTCCACTCTGTTCCACTCCATTCCATTCCATGCCACTCCACTCCACTCCAATCTTCTTCTCTCCCTACCTCTGGATTCCTTTCCACTCTATTCCATTCCATTCCACTCCACTCCACTACATTCCACTCCAATAAACTCCATTCCATGCCACTCCACTCCATTCCATTCCACTTCACTCCATTCCATTCATTTCCGTTCCATTCCTCTCCATTCCATTCCACTCTACTCCATTCCATTATATTCCACTCCACTCCATTCCCGTCCACTCCACTCAACTCCACTCCATTCCATTCCTTTCGATTCCATTCCAATCCACTCCTCCCCACTCCATTCCTTTCCATTCCATTCCATTACATTCCATTACATTACATTATATTACATTACATTATATTACATTACATTACACTCTACTCCACTCCACTCTACTCCATTCCACTCCACTCTACTCCACTTTACTCCACTCCACTTCATGTCATTCCACTCCATTCTATTCCATTCCTTTCTTTCCACAGGAACTCCCTCTTTAACAAAGGCCGGAGTGCAGTTGAACAATCTCAGCTCACATTTCTTTCCAACTTTCCACTGTATTCCATTCCATCCCTTTCCATTCCACTCTATTTCACTCCACTCCACTCCACTCCTCTCTACTGCATTCCATTCCACTCCATCCCATTCCATTCGACTCCTTTCCACTCCACTGCACTCCACTCCACTCCATTCCACCCCACTCAATTCCACACCACTCCACTCCATTCCACTCCACCCCACTCCATTCAATTCCATTCCACTCCACTCCTCCCTACTCCATTCCATTCCATTCCATTTCATTCTATTACATTACATTACATTCCACTCTACTCCACTCCACTCTACTCCATTCAACTCCATTCCAGTCCACTCCACTCCACTCGACTCCACTGCACTCTACTCCACTCCACTCCATTCCATTCCACACCATTCCATTCCATTCCTTTCTTTCCGCAGGAACTCTCTCTTTCACAAAAAGTCAGGGGTGCAGGGGCGCAATCTCAGCTCACATTTCTTTCCAACATTCCATTGCATTCCATTCCATCCCTTTTCATTCCACTCTATTTCTTTCCACTCTACTCTTTTGCACTCCATTTTATTCCACTCCACCCCATTCAATTCGACTTCATTCCCGTCTATTCTACTCCACTCCACTCCATTCCACCCCACTCAATTAACCTCCGCTCCACTCCATTTCATTCCACTCCAATCCAGAGCGTTCCACTCCAATCCAGAGCGTTCCACTCCACCCCACTCCCTTCCATTCCATTCTACTCCATTCCATTCCACTCCACTCCACTCCATTCCACTCCTCTCCACTCCATTCCACTCTATCTCACTCCTTTCCACTCCACTCCACTCCATTCCATTCCACTTTACTCCATTCCATTCCATTCCATTCCATTCCATTCCATTCCATTCCATTCCAATGCACTCCACTCCTCTTCATTCCCTTCCATGCCATCCCATTCCCTTCCTTTCCGTTCCACTCCACTCTACTTCACTCCACTCGCCTCAACTCCAGTTCACTCCATTCCATTCCATTCCACTGCATTCCATTCCTTTTCTTTCTTTGGAGAGTATCTCACTCTGTAATCCACCCTGGAGTGCAGTGGCACAATCTCAGCTCACATTTCATTTCACCACTCCGTTCCCTTCCATTCAATTCCAATCCACTCCTCTCCACTCCACTCCAATCCATTCCACTCCACTCCACACCACTCCATTCCAGTCCACTCTACTTTTTTGCATTCCATCCCTTTCCATTCCAGTCCTTTCCACCCCTCTCCACTCCATTTCATTTCATTCCATTCCATTCCATTCCATTCCTTTCTTTTGACAAGATCTCACACTGACACCCAGACTGGCGTGCAGCTGCACAATCTCAGCTCACATTTCCTTTCACCATTCCATTCCATTCCATTCCATTCTCTTCCATTCTATTCCATTCCACGGCACTCCACCCCAGTCCACTCAATTCCACTACACTACACTCCAATCCATGCCGTTCCATTTCATTCCAATCCCTTCAATTACACTCCTTTCTTTTGACAGGATCTCCCTCTGTCCCACAGGCTGTAGCATAGTGGCACAATTTCAGCACACATTTCTTTTCACCATTCTATTCCATTCCATTCTTTTCCATTCCATTCCATTCCATTCCTCTCCACTCCATTCCACTCCACTCCACTCCATTCCACTCCACTCCATTCCTCTCCACTCCACTCAATTCCATTCCAATCCACTCCACTCCACTCCAATCCACTACACTCCATTCCACTGCACTCCTCTCCATTCCACTCAATTCTACTCCACTCCATTCCACTCCACTCAACTCCACTCCATGCCATTTCACTCCACTCCACTCCAGTCCACTCCACTCCATTCCATTCTACTCCTCTCCACTCCAATCCATTCCACTCCATTCCACTCCTCTCACTCCACTCCATGCCATTTCACTCCACTCCACTCCAGTCCACTCCACTCCATTCCATTCCACTCCTCTCCACCCCACTCCATCCCCCGCCAGCCCACTCCATCCCCTCCCCCCCCACCCCCCCGCCCCCCATCCACTCCATTTCATTCCATTCCACTCCATTCCATTCCATTATGTTCTTTCCACAGGATCTCACTCTGCCAT
>NC_000024.10:11024266-11028342 GCF_000001405.40 Homo sapiens
TCTCCACTCCAGTCCAGTGCACTACACTCCATTCCCCTCCACTCCACTCAATAGCACTACACTGCATTGCTCTCCACTACACTTCGCCCCATTCCATTCCACTCCACTCCACTATTGTCCACTCGATTCCATTCCACTCCACTCCATTCCACTCCATTCCACTCTACTCCATTCCACCCTACTCCACTCCATTCCATTCCATTCCATTCCACTCCATTGCATTGCATTACTTTCTTTCCACGGGATCTCACTCTGTCATAAAGTCTGGATTGCAGTGGCACAATATCAGCTCACATTTCTTTTCACCATTCCATTCCATTACATTCTATCCCATTCCATTCCACTCTATTTCACTCCACACCACTCGACTCCATTCCATTCCACTCCATCCCATTCCTTTCGACTCCATTCTACTTCACTCCACTCCACTCCACTCCACTCCATTCCATTCTATACATTCCATTCCATTTCAGTCCATTGCATTTCATTGCTTTCTTTCGACAGGATGTCACTCTGTCACTTAGGAATGAGTGCTGTAGTACAATCGCAGCTCACATTACATGTCAACTTTCCATTGCATTGCCTTCCATTCCATTGTTTTCCATTGCATTCCATTCCATTCCTTTCCACTTCATTCCTTTCCATTCCATTCAATTCCATTCTTTCCAATCCGCTGCACTCTACTTCACTGCACTCCACTACATTCCATTACACCCTTTTCCGTTACACTCCATTCCAATCCTCTCCACTCCACTTCTCTCCACTCCACTCCATTCCACTCCATTCCATTCCATTCCTCTCCATTCCACTGCAGTCCACTCAACCCCACTCCACTCCACCTCATTCCATTCCATCCCATAACATTCCTCTCCATTCCACTCCACTCCACTCCAGTCCACCCCACTCCACTCCATCTCATTCCATTCCATCACATAACGTTCCTCTCCATTCCCCTCAACTCCACTCCACTCCACTCCAGTCCACTCCATTCCATTCCATTGCATTCCATTCCATTCCACTGCATTCCATTCCATTCCTTTCTTTTGAGAGTGTCTCACTCTTTCAAGCAGCCTGGAGGGCAGTGGCACAATCTCAGCTCACATTTCATTGAACAATACCATCCATTTCATTCCATTCCATTCTATTCCACTCCACTCCACTCCAATCAATTCCACTCCACTCTACTCCACTCCATTCCAGTCCACTCCACTCCTTTCCATTCCATCCCGTTCCATTCCACTCCTTTCCACTCCACTCCACTGCACTCCATTTCATTTCATTCCATTCCTCTCCATTCCATTCCATTCCTTTCTTTTGACAGGATCTCTCTTTGTCACCAAGACTGGTGTACAGTTGAACAATCTCAGCTCACATCTCAATTCACCATTCCCTTCCATTCCATTATACTGCACTCCACGCCACTCCACTCAATTTCACTCCACGGCACTCCAATCCATTCCATTCCATTCCAATCCCTTTCTTTCCACTTTTTTCTTTTGACAGTATCTCCCTCTGTCACACTGGCTGCAGCATAGTGGCACTATCTCAGCACACATTTCTTTTCACCATTCCATTCCGTCCAATTTCATCCCACTCTTTTCCACTCCACTCTACTCCACTACATTCCACTCCACTCCCTTCTACTCCACTCCACTCCATTCCACTCCACTCCATTCCATTCCACTGCATTCCCCTCCACTCCCCTCCATTTCACTCCTTTCCAATCCACTCCACTCCACTCCAGGCCATTCCACTCCACTCCACTCCACTCCACTCCATTCCACTCCACTCCATTCCACTGCACACCACTCCACTCCACTCCATTCTATTCCACTCCACTCCATTCCATTCCTTTCTTTCCACAGGATCTCACTCTGTCACAAACGCTGGAGTACAATGGCACAATCTCAGCTCACATTTCTTTTCACCATTCTATTGCATTCCTTTCCATCCCATTCCATTCCACTCTATTTCACTCCATTCCACTCCATTGCATTCCGCTCCATCCCTTTCCATTCGACTCCCTTCCTCTACCCTCCACTCCACTCCATTGCATTCCATTCGATTCCATTCCATTTCACTTCATTGCATTCCATTCCTTTCTTTCAACAGGCTATCACTGTGTCACCCAGGCTGGAGTGCACTGGTGCAATCTCAGCTCACATTACATGTCATCTTTCTAATGCATTGCATTCTATTCCATTGCATTCCACCGCATTCATTTCCATTCCATTCAAATCCATTCCATTCCAGTCCATTCCACTCAACTCAAATCCACTCCGCTACATTCCATTACATCTGATTCCTTTCCTCTCCATTACACTCCTCTCCACTTCCCTGCACTCCACTCCACACCATTCCATTCCATTCCATTCCACTCTATTCAATGGCAATCCACTTCACCCCACTCCACTCTACTTTATTCTATTCCATTCCGTCCCATTCTATTCCTCTCCATTCCACTCCTCTGCACTTCACCCCTCTCCACTCTTCTCCAGCACATTCCATTCCATTCCATCCCATGACATTCCATTCTATTCCTTTCTTTCCAGAGTATCTCACTCTGTCAACCAGCCTGGAGCGCTGCCGCACAATCTCAGCTCACATTTCATTTCAACATTCCATTCTATTCCATTCCACTCCTCTCCAATCCACTCCACTCCACTTCACTCCATTCGATCCCATTCCATTCCTCTCCATTCCACTCCAGTCCACTTCACTCCACTCCAATAAAGTCCACTCCATTTCATTCCATACCATTCCATTCCACTGCACTCCATTCCACTCCACTCAATTCCTCTCCACTCCACTCCACTCCACTCCAGTCCATTCCAATCCATTCCAATCCCTTCCATTCCACTCCTTTCTTTCGACAGAATCTCCGTCTGTCACACAGGCTGTAGCATAGTGGCACAATCTCAGCACAAATTTATTTACACCATTCCTTTGCATTCCATTGCACTCCATTCTGTTCTGTTCCATTCCGTTCAATTTCGTTCCACTCCACGCCACTCCACTCCACTCCATTCCACTCCACTACATTCCACTCCACTCCATTCCACTCCACTCCACTCAACTCCATTCCACTCAACTCCACTTAACTCCACTCCATTCCATTCCACTTCACTCCATTCCAACCCACTCCACTCCACTTTACTCTACTCCTTTCCTCTCCACTGCATTCCACTCCACTGCACTCCACTCCACTGCATTCCAATCCACTCCACTCCAATCCATTCCACTACAATCCACTCCACTCCACTCTAATGCACTCCATTCCACTCCACTTCACTTCACTCCATTCCAGTCCACTCCACTTCTTTCCCTTCCATTGCAATCCATTCCACACCTTTCCACTCCATACCACTCCACTTCACTCCATTCCATTCCATTACACTCCATTCCATTCCATTCCTTTCTTCTCACAGGACCTCACTCTGTCACCCAAGCGGGTGTGCAGTGACACAATCTCAGCTCACATTTCATTTCACCATTACATTCAATTCCATTCCACTGCACTCCACTCCATTCCATTCATTTCCACTCCATTCCACTCCCATCCATTCCATTCCTATCCCTTCCATTCCACTCCTTTCTTTTGACAGCATCTCCCACTGTCCCACAGGCTGTTGAGTAGTGGTACAATCTCTGCACACATTTCTTTTCACCATTCCATTCCATTCCATTCCATTCTGTTCCCTTCTGTTCCATTTTGTTCCACTCGGTTCCACTCTACTCCACTCCACTCCACTCCATTCCATTCCACGCCATTCCACTCCACTCTACTTCACTCCATTTCACTCTACTCTATTTCACTCCACTCCACTCCAGTCCGTTCCACTCCACTCTATTACGCTCCATTCCACTCCACTCCAGTCCACTCCACACCATTCCACTCCACTCCACTCCATTCCATGCCATTCCACTCCACTCCATTCCACTCCACTCCACTGAACTCCACTTCACTCCATTCCATTCCATTCCACTCCATTCCATTCCATTACTTTCTTTCCACAGCATCTCACTCTGTCATAAATGCTGGAGTGCAGTGGTACAATCTCATCTCATTTCTTTCA
>NC_000024.10:11029160-11036252 GCF_000001405.40 Homo sapiens
CTCCACTCCACTCCATTCCATTCCATTCCACTCCATTCCATTACTTTCTTTCCACAGGATCTCACTCTGTCATAAAAGCTGTATTGCAGTGGCACAATATCAGCTCACGTTTCTTTTCACCATTCCTTTCCATTCCATTCCATCCCTTTACATTCCACTCTATTTCACTCCACTCCACTCGACTCCATTCCATTCCACTTCATCACATTCCATTCGACTGCATTACACTTCACTCCACTGCACTCCACTCCACTCCATTCCATTCCATTTCAATCCATTGCATTCCATTGCTTTCTTTCAACAGAATATCACTCTGTCACTCAGGAAGGAGTGCAGTGGCACAATCGTAGCTCACATTACATTTCAACTTTCCATTTCATTGCTTTCTATTCCATTGCATTCCATTCCGTTCCATTCCACTCCATTCCATTTCATTCAATTCCATTCCTTTCCCCTCCGTTCCACTCCACTCCAATCCACTGGACCACTTCCGATTACATCTTTTTCCATTACACTCAATTCCACTCCTCTCCACTCCACTGCTCTCCACTCCACTCCATTCCACTCCATTCCATTCCATTCCTCTCCATTCCACTACACTCCACTCTACCCCACTCCACTCCATCTCATTCCATTCCATCCAATAACATTCCTCTCCATTCCACTCCACTCCACTTCACTTCACTCCACTCCACTCCAGTCCACTCTGTTCCATTCCATTGTATTCCTTTCCATTCCTTTCTACTGCATTCCATTCTATTACTTTCTTTCGAGAGTGTCTCACTCTTTCAACCAACCTGGATGGCAGTAACACAATCTCAACTCACATTTCGTTGCACCATTCCATCCAGTCGATTCCATTCCATTCCATTTCACTCCACTCCACTCCGCTCCACTCCAAATAATTCCACTCCACTCCACTCCACTCCATTCCAGTCAACTCCACTCCTTTCCATTCCATCCCATTACATTCCACTCCTTTCCACTCAACTCCACTCCATCCAATCCATTCCATTCCATTCCACTCCATTCCATTCCATTCCACTCCATTCCATTCCATTCCTTTCTTTTGACAGGATCTCCCTCTGTCACCCAGGCTGTTGTACAGTGGAACAATCTCAGCTCACATTTCATTTCACCATTCCATTCCATGCTATTACACGGCACTCCACTCCACTCAATTCCACTCAACCCCACTACAATCCATTCCATTCCACTCCATTCCAATCCCTTCCATTCCACTCCTTTCTTTCGACAGTATCTCCCTCTGTCACACAGGCTGTAGCATAGTGGCACTATCTTAGCACACATTTCTTTTCACCATTCCATTCCATTCAATTCCGTTCTGTTCCATTCCGTCCCTTTCTGTTCCACTCTTTTCCACTACACTGGACTCCACTCCTTTGCACTCCACTCCATGCCACTGCACTCCACTCCATGCCACTGCACTCCACTGCATTCATTTCCACTGCTTTCCACTCCAATCCACTCCATTACACTCCACTCCATTCCACTCCACTACCCTCCATTCCACTCCATTCCATTCCACTCCACTCTGCTCCACTTCAGTCCACTCCACTCCTCTCCACTGCATTCCATTCCACTCCACTCCACTCCACTCCATTCCACTCAACTCTATTCCACTCAACTCCACTCCACTCTACTCCATTGCATTCCACTCCATTCCATTCCATTCTTTCCTTTCCACAGGATCTCACTCTGTCACAAATGCTGGAATGTGGTGGCACAATCTCAGCTCAAATTTCTTTTCACTCTTCTATTACATTCCTTTCCATCCCATTCCATTCCACTCTATTTCACTCCATTCCACTCCCCTCCACTCCACTCTACTCCTCTCCATTCCATTGCACTCCATTCGATTCCATTCCATCTCACTCAGTTGCATTCCATTCCTTTCTTTCAAAAGGCTATCACTGCGTCACCCAGGCTGGAATGCAGTGGCACAATCTCAGCTCACATTACATGTCAACTTCCCATTGTATTGTATTCTATTCCATTTTATTCCACTGCATTCCATTCCATTCCATTCCACTCCACTCCATTCTACTCCACTCCACTCCAGTACATTCCATTACATCCAATTCCGTTCCACTCCTCTACACTCCACTGCACTCCACTCCACTCCATTCCATTCCATCCCATTCCATTCTGCTCCATTCAACTACACTCCACTCCACCCCACTCCACTCCTCTTCATTCCATTCCATTCAGTCCCATTCCATTCCTCTCCATTCCACTCCACTCCACTTCACCCCACTCCACTCCTCTCCAGTCCATTCCATTCCATTCCATTCCACAGCATTCCATTCCATTCCTTTCTTTTGAGTTTCTAACTCTGTCAACCATCCTGGAGCACTGTTGCACAATCTCAGCTCACATTTCATTTCACCATTCCATTCCATTCCATTCCATTCCATTCCATTCCATTCCATTCCATTCCATTCCGTTCCGTTCCGTTCCACTCTGTTCCAATCCACTCCCCTCCACTCCACTACATTCCATTACACACGATTCCATTCCACTCCATTCCACTCCTTTTCACTCCACTGCACTCCACTCCACTCCATTCCCTTCGATCCCATTCAATTCCACTCCATTCCACTGCACTCCCTTCCACCCCACTCCACTCCACTTCAATCCAATCCATTTCAACCCATTCCATTCCTCTCCATTTCACTCCACTTCACTTCATGAATTCCACTGCACTTATGTACACTCCATTCCATTCCATTCCACTGCATTCCATTCTATTCCTTTTCCTCGATTTTATCTCACTCTGTCACCCAGACTGGAGTGCAGTGGCACAATCTCACGTCCCATTTCATTTCACAATTCCATTCCATTGCATTGCATTCCATTCCATTCCATTTTACTCCAATACACTCCAATCCACTCCACTCCACTCCATTCCACTGCATTCCAGTCCACTCCATTTCTTTCCATTCCATCTCATTCCAATCCAATCCTTTCCACTCCACTCCACTCCATTCCACTCCATTCCATTCGATTACACTCCATTCCATTCCATTCTTTTGACAGGATCTCACTCTGTCACCCAGGCTGGTGTGCAGTGGCAGAATCTCTGCTCACATTTCTTTTCACTATTCCATTCCATTCCACTCCATTCCATTCCACGGCACTTCAGTCCACTATAATCAATTTTCTCCACTCCACTCCAGTCCAAACCATTCCATTCCATTTCAATCCATTCCAATCCATTCCGCTCCATCTCCGCCCACTCCACTCCACTCCACTCCATTCAACTAAGCTCCTCTCCACTTCCACAGCACAATCTCCAATCTCAGCTCTCATTTCATTTCACTATTCCATTCCATTCCATTCCATGGCATTTCACTCCACTATAATCAGTTTTACTCCACTCCACTCCAAAACATTCCATTCCAATCCATTCCATTCCACTCCACTCCACTCCATTCAACTATGCTCCTCTCCATTCCACGGCACTTCACTCCACTATAATCAATTTTACTCCACTCCACTCCAAACCATTCCACTCCACTCCACTCCACTTCATTCGTCTCCACTCCACTCCACTCCATTTCACTCTATTCCCCTCCACTCCACTGCTCTCCACTCCATTCCATTCCTTTCTTTCCACAGTATCCCATTCTATCAAAAAGGCTGGAGTTCAGTGGTACAATCTCAGCTCACATTTATTTTCACCATTCAATTTCTTTCCATTCCATCCCATTCCATTCCACTCTATTTCACTCCACTCCACTAAACTCCATTCCATTCCTCTCCATCCCTTTCCATTCGACTCCACTCCACTCCATTCCACTCAATTCCATTACCTTCAATTCGAATTCACACCATTGCATTCCATTGCTTTCTTTCGACGGGATATCACGGTGTCACCCAGGCTTGTGTGCAGTGGTACAATCTCAGCTCACAATACATGTCAGCTTTCCATTGTATTGCATTCTATTCCATTGCATTCCATTCCATTCCATTCCATTCCATTCCATTCCATTCCATTCCATTCCATTCCTGTGCATTCCATTCCTGTGCATTCCATTCCATTCCTTCTCATTCAGTTCCATTCCTTTCCACTCTGTTCCACTCCACTCCACTCCACTACATTCCATTACATGCAATTTCATTCCACTCCATTCCACTCCTCTCCACTCCAAAGCACTCCACTCCACTCTATTCCACTACATCCATTCCATTCCACTCCATTCCACTGCAATCTACTCCACCCCACTCCACTCCACTTCATTCCATTTCATCCCCTTCCATTGAATTCCCTTTCGTTCCACTGCTTTCTTTCGACAGGATCTCTCTGTCACACAGGCTGTAGCATAGTGCCACGATCTCAACACACATTTCTTTTCACCATTCCATTCCATTCCATTCCATGCCATTCCATTAAATTCCACTCCACTACACTCAACTCCACTACACTCCACTCCACTCCTCTCCACTCAATACCTTTCCCCTCCATTCAACTCTACTCATTCCACTCCAATCCACTCCATTCCATTCCACTCCACTCCATGCCACTCCACTCCACTCAACTACACTCCATTGCATTCCACTCCACTCAACTCCATTCCACTCCACTCAACTCCATTTCACTGCACTCCATTGCTATCCACTCCACTCCACTCCAATCTACTCCATTCCATTCCACTCTGCTCCATTCCACTCCATTC
Organism: Homo sapiens; assembly: GCF_000001405.40. Lineage (NCBI taxonomy): Eukaryota > Metazoa > Chordata > Mammalia > Primates > Hominidae > Homo > Homo sapiens. The sequence goes on from NC_000024.10 coordinate 11,033,861, forward strand.
CAATCCATTCCACTCCACTCCATTCCAATCCATTCCATTCCATTCCACTCCACTCCATTCCACTCCATTCCATTCTGCTCCACTCACCTCCACTAAACTCCTCTCCATTCCATTCCACTCGATTCCATTCCATTCCTTTCTTTCCAGAGGATCTCTCTCTGTCACAATGGCTCGAGTGCAGTGGCACAATCTCAGCTCACATTTATTTTCACCATTCCATTGCATTCCATTCCATCCCATTCCATTACACTCCACTCCACTCCATTCCATTCCATTCTATTACATTCCATTTCACTACATTGAATTTCTTTTCTTTCTTTCAACGTGATATAACTGTGTCACCCAGGCTGCTGTGCGGTGGCACAATCTCCACTCACATTACATGTCAACTTTCCATTACATTGCATTCTTTCCATTGCATTCCATTGCATTCCTTTCCATTCCATTCCACTCTGTTCCACTCCACTCAACTCCACTCCACTGCTTTCCATTATATATGATTGCATTACACTCTACTCCACTCCTCTCTACTCCACTGCACTTCACTCCAATCCATTAATTCCAACCCAATCCCTTCCTCTGCAGTCTCCTCACTCCACTCCACTTAATTCCTTTCCATTCCATCCTATTCCATTCTGCTCAATTCCACTCCACTCCACATCACTCCACTCCACTCCATTCCAATCCACTCCATTCCATCCAACTACATTCCAATCCATTCCTTTCTTTCGAGAGTATCTCACTCTGTCACACAGCCTGGAGCGCAATGGCACAATCTCAGCTCACATTTCATTTCACCATTCCATTCTATTCAAATCGATTTCATTCCATTCCATTCCGCTCCACTCCACTCCACTCCATTCCAATCCATTCCATTCAACTCCACTCCATTCCATTCCAGTCCACTCCTCTCCTTTCTATTCCATCCCATTCCATTCCACTCCTTTCCACTCCACTCCACTCCAGTCCATTGCATTCCATTCCACTCCATTCCATTCCATGACTTTCTTTTGACAGGATCTCACTCTGTAACCCAGGCTGGTGTGCAGTGGCACAATCTCAGCTCACATTTCATTTCACCATTCCATTGCACTTCATTCCATACCACTGAAATCCACTGCAATCCGCCAATTTCACTCCACTCCACTCCAATCCATTCCATTCCATTATACTCTAATCCCTTCTATTACATTCCCCTCTTTTGACAGGGTCTCCCTCTGTCACACAGGCTGTAGCGTATTCGCCAAATCTCAGTAAATATTTCTTTTCAGCATTGCATTCCAGTCTTTTCTTTTGCATTCTGTTCCATTCCATTCCATTCCGTTCCACAACACTTCACTGCACTCCACTCCTTTCCTTTCCACTCCACGCCATCCCACTGAACTCCACTCCACTCCACTTCACTCCACTCCATTCCATTCCAATCCATTCCAATCCACTCCACACCACTTCATTCCACTCCACTCAACTCCACTCAATTCCACTCCACTGCATTCTGCTCCATTCCACTCCACTCCATTCCACTCCACTCCAGTCTACTTCATTCCACTCCACTCCACTCCATTCCACTCCGTTCCACTCCATTCCATTCCATTTCTTTCTTTTTGTAGGATCTCACTCTGTCGCAAAGCCTGCAGTGTAGTTGCACAAATTCAGCTCATATTTCTTTTGACCATTCCATTGCATTCCATTCCATCCCATTCCATTACACTCTATTTCACTCTACTCGACTCCACTCCACTCCACTCCATTCCATTCCACTCCATCCCATTCCTTTAGACTCCATTCCACTCCACTCCATTCCACTCTTCTCCAGTACACTCCAATCCCCTCTATTAAATTCCATTTCAGTCCATTTCAATCCATTGATTCCATTCCTTTCTTTTGACAAGATATCACTGTGTCACCCAGGCTGGAGTGCAGTGGCACAATCTCAGCTCACATTACATGTCAACTTTCCATTGCATTGCATTCTATTCAATTGCATTCCATGGCATTCCATTCGATTCCATTCCATTCTGTTTCATTCCTTTCTGTTCCATTCCATTCTGTTCCATTCCATTCCATTAGATTCCACTCCATTCCACTCCATCCCACTCCACTCCACTTCATTCCATTCCATTCCAACCAATTCCATTCTTCTTCATTCCACTCCACTCCACTCCATTCCACTATATTCCTTTCCACTCCACTCCATTCCACTCCACTCCTTTCCACTCCACTACACTCCACTCCATTCCACTCCATTCCACTCCACTCTTCTCCATTCCACTCCACTCCATTCACCTCCACTCCACTCCATTCCACTCCACTCAAATCCACTCCTCTCCACTCCACTCCACTTCACTCCACTCCACTCCATTCCACTCCACTTCTCTCCATTCCACTCCAA
>NC_000024.10:11642902-11647442 GCF_000001405.40 Homo sapiens
GTAATCGAATGGAATGGACTGGAATTGAATGGACTCGAATGCAATGGACTGGAACAAAATTGAATAGAACGGATTGGAATCGAAAGGAATGGAAAGGAATAGAATGGAATCGAATCGACATGAATGGAATGGAGTGAAACGGAATGGAATCGAATAGAATGGAATCGAATGGAATGGAATTGAATGGATTCGAAAGGAATAGAATGGAATGGAGTTTAATGGAAAGATATCGAATGGAATATACTGGAATAGAAAGGAATAGAATGTAACGGATTGTAATGTAATTGATTCGAATGGAATGGAATCGAATGGAATGTAATCAAATGGAATGGAAAGGAATGCAATGGAATGGTATAGAGTGAAGTGCAATGGAATGGAACAGAGTGGAATCGAGTGCAATGGAGTTCAATGGAATGGAATGGAATGAAAAGGAATGGAATGGAATGCAATGGAATGGAATGGTCTCGAATAGATTGGAGTGGAAAAAAATGGAACCGAATGGATTGGAATTGTTCTGAAAGGAATGGAATGGAATGGATATGAATGGAATGGATTTGAAAGTAATGGAATCGAATGGAACGGAATCAAACAGAATGGAATTGAATGGAATCGAAAGGAATAGAATGGAATGGAGTGTCTTGGAAATATACCGAATCGAATGTAATAGACTCAAATTGAATGGACTGGAAAACATTGGAAACGAAAGGAATGGACTGGAGTGGAATGGATTCTAATGGTATGGAAATGAAAGGAATGGAATGGAATGGAATGGAACGGAATGGAATGGAATGGAATGGAATGGAATGGAATGGAATGGAATTGATTGGAATGGAATGGAATGGAATGGAATGGAATGGAATGGAATGGAATGGAATGGAATGGAATGGAATGGAATAGATTGGAATGGAATGGAATGGAATGGATTCAAATGGAATAGAATCATTTAGAATGGCCTCGAATGGAATGGAATGGAATGTGGTGGACTTAAATGGAATGGACTCGAATGGAATGGATTCAAATAGAATGGAAACGAAAGGAATGTTCTTGAATGGAATTTATTCGAATATAAAAGAGTCAAATCGAAGGCAATAGAAATTAATGGAATCAAATGGAATGGAAACGAATGTAATTGACAGGAAAGAATGGACTAGAATAGTATGGAGTCCAATGTAATGGATTGCAATGTAATTGATTCGAATAGAATTTAATCGAATGGAATATAATCTAACGAAATGGAATGGAATACAAAGGAATGGAATAGAATGGAATGCAACGGAATGGAATGGAGTGAAATCGACTTGAACAGAATCGAATGGAATGGAATCAAATGGAATGGCCTAGCATGGAATGAAATCGAATGGAATGGATGGGACGAAAATGGAATGGAATGGATTTGAATCAAAAGGAAAGGAATGGAAAGGAAAAGAATGGAATGGAATGGATTCAAATAGAATGGAATCAAATGGAATGGAATTGATGAGAATCAAAAGGAATAGAATTGATAGGAGTGTAAAGGAATTTCTTTGAATGGAAAGGACAGGAATGGAATGGAATGGTCTCGAATGGAATGGACTGGAATGGAACAGACTGGAGTGGAACGGACTCGAGTAGAATGGACTTGAATGGAATGGAAACGAATGAAATGAAATGGAAAGGACTGCAATAGAATTGAAAGGAATAGAATGGAATGAAATCAGATGGACGGGAATGGTATGGAATGGAGTCGAATAGAATAGAGTCGAATGAAATGGCATTGAATGTAATAGAATGGAATGGAATTGACTCGAATGCAATGGAAACGAACGGAATGCAATGAAATGCAAAGGAATGGATTGGAATTGAATTGGATGCAATAGAATGGATTAGAATGGAATAAAATTGAGTGTAATGGCATCGAATGGAATGCAATGGAATGGACTCGAATGGAATGGACTTGAATGTAGTAGAATGGAATGGCATGACATCGAATGGAAAGGAAAGGAATGGAAAGGAATGGAATCAGTTGGAACGGAATAGAAAGGAATGGAGTCAAATGGTATAGAATCTAATGGAATGGTATCGAACTGACTGGAATGGATTGAACTAAAATGTAATGGACTCGAATGCAATAGAAGAGAATGGAATGACGTCGAATCAAATGGAATGAAATGGATTGGAATGCAATGGATAGGAATGTAATGGATTGGACCCAAATGTAAAGGACACAAATGGAATGGACTCAAGTGGAATGGACTCAAGTACAATGGACTTGAAAGGAATGGTCTCGAATGGAATTCATTATAATACAATGGAATCGAATGGAATGAATTAGTATGGAATGATATCGAATGGAATGGAATAGAATGGAATGAACCGGAATGGAATGGACTGGAATAGAAGCGACTCGAATGTAATGGATTGCAATTTAATGGATTTGAAATGAATGGATTCAAAAGGAATGTAATGAAATGGAATGGAATGGTATGCAACGGAATGGATAAGAATGGAATGCAATAAAAGGAAATGGAGTGGAATCCAGTGGAATGGAATCGAATGGAATGGAATTGTATGGAATGGAATAGAATGCAATGGACCAGAATGGAATGGAATGGAATAAAACCGATTTGAATGATATGGATTGCAATGTAATTGATTTGAATAGAATGGATTCAAATGGAATGTAATCAAATGGATTGGAATGGTAAGAAATGGAATGGAATAGAATGGAATGCAATAAAGGGGAATGGAGTGGAATCGAGTGGAGTAGAATGGAGTGTAATTTAATCAAATGGAATAGAATTGTATGGAATGGTATCAAACGGCATGGACTGGAATTGAATGGAATGTAATAGATTGGAATGGAATGGAATGGCACGGACTAGAATGCAGTGGACTCGAATGCAATTGACTGGAACAAAACGGAATCGGACAGATGGGAATCGAACCTAACTGAATTGAATGGAATGGAATGGAAAGGACTCAAATGGAATGGAGTCGAATAGAAAGGATCCAAGTGGTATGGAATCGAATGGAATGGAATTGAATGGAATCGAAAGGAATAGAATGAAATGGAGTGTAATGGAAAGACATCAAATGGAATGTAATGGACTCGAATGGAATGGAGTTGAATGGAATGAAATTGAAAGGAATGGAATTGAATGGAATGGAAGTGAACAGAAACGAAAGGAATAGAATCGAATGGAGTGAAATGGAAAGATATCGAATAAAAAGGAATGGAATGGAATGGACTGGAATGGAATGGACTGGAGAGGATTGTACTCGAATGGAAAGGAAATGAATGGAAAGGAATAGAATGGAATGGAATGGAATTGGATGGAACGGAATGGAATGGAACGGAATGGAATGGAATGGAATGGAATGGAATGGAATGGAATGGAATGCAGTCGAGTGGAATAGAATCGAATGGTACGGCATCAGATGGAATGGAATGGGCTTGAATGGAATGGACTCGAATGGAGCAGAATTGAAAGGAATGTCATCGAATGGACTGCAATGGAATGGCATGGAATGAAATGTAATGGACTCGAAAGGAATGGTCTCGAACGCAATTTATTCGAATAGAATGGAATTGAATGGAATGCAACAGTGTGGAATGGAATCGAAAGAACTGGAATCGAATGGAATGGAACAGAATGGATTGGAGTGGAATAGAATGGGCTCGAATGTAATAGAATGTAACGTAATTGATTTGAAAGGAAGGGAATCTAAAGTAATGTAATCAAATGGAATGGAATGTAATGCAATGAAAGGGAGTAGAATGAAACGCAATGGAATGGAACTGAGTGGAATCTAGTGGAATGGAATCTAGTGGAATGAAATTGAATAGAGTGGAATCAAATGGAATGGAGTGGAATGGAATGGACTCGAAGAGATTAGACTGGAATGAATTGGAATCGATTGGATTGGAATCTAACGGAACGGAATGGAATGGAATGGACTCGAATGGAAAGGAGTATAATGAAATGGAACCGAATGGAATTGAATCGAAAGAATGAGAGTGAATTGAATAGAAAGAGACAGAATGGAATGGAGTGTAATGAAAAGATATCGAATGGAATGGACTCGAAAGGAAAGGAGAGGAATATAATGGACAGGAGTTGAATGAACTTGAACGGAATGGAAAGGAGTTCCATGGAATGGAATGAAATGGAGAGGGAAGGAATAGAATGAAATGGAATCGAATGGAACGGAATGGAATGGAATGGAGTCGAATGGAACAGAATCGAATGGAATGACATCGAATATAATGGAATGGAACAGAACGGAAATTAATCAAATGGAATGGAATCAAGTGGAATGGATTGAATGGAATGGCATCGAATGGAATTGAATTTAATGAAATGGAATGGAATGGACACAAATGTAATGGACTTGAACGGAATAGACACAAACAGAATGGACTAGAAAGGAATGGACTCGAATGGAATTTATTCGAGTAGAAAGGAATCGAATAGAACGCAATAGTATAAAATGGAATCGAAAGTTATGGTATCGAATGGAATGGACCAGAATTGAATGTACTGGAATACAATGGACACCA
>NC_000024.10:11647709-11653064 GCF_000001405.40 Homo sapiens
GCCATCGAATGGAATGGAACGGAATGGAATCCAACGGAAATCAATGGAATGGACACAAATGTAAAGGACTCGAATGGAATGGACTCAAATAGAATGGACTCGAAAGGAATTTTTTCAAATGGAATTTATACAAATAGAATGAAATCTAATGGAATGCAATAGTATGAAATGGAATCCAATGGAATGTAATCGAATGGAATGGACTGGAATGGAAGGGACTGGAATACAATGGAATGGAATGGAATGGATTGCAATGTAATTGAATGGAATGGAATGGAAACGAATGGAATGTAATCACATGGAATGGAATTGAATGGAGTAGAATGGAATTCAATGGAATAGAATGGAGTGGAATTGAAAGGAATGGAATCCAAAGAAATGGACTGGAATGGAATGGACTGAAACAAAATGGAAACCACCGGATTGGAATGGAAGGGAACAGAATGGAATAGAACGCAAAGGAATGGACTCGAATGGAATGCAGTCGAATTTAATGGAACTGAATAGAATGGAATTGAATGGAATCAAAAGAATAGAATGCAACTTAGTGTAATGGAAAGATATAGAGTGTAAAGGAAAGATATCGAATGTATTAGAATGGAATGGACTCGAATGGAATGTAATGGAATGGAACACACTCGAATGGAATGGACTGGAGTGGAATGGACTTGAACGGAATGGAAACGAATGGAATTAAACGGAAAGGACTGGAATGGAATGGAAAGGAATAGAATGGAATGAAATCGGAAGGAACGTAACGGAATGGAATGGAGTTGAAGGTAATACAGTCGAATGAAAAGCATTGAATGGAATGGAAAGGAATGGAATCGACTCGAATAGAATGGAAACGAATGGAATGGAATAGAGTGGAATGGAATCGAATGGAGTGGAATACAATGGAATGGAAAGGAATTGAATGGAAAGGAATACAAAGGAATGAAATGGGATGGAAGGGAAATGGAATGGAATGAAGTCGAATGGAATATAAACGAATGGAATGGCATCGAATGGAATGGAATGAAATGGAACGGAATAGAATGGCCTCGAATTGAACGGATTCGAATGCAATAGAATACGATAGAATGGCATTGAATGGAATGGAATGGAACCAAATGGAATGGACTCGAATGGAATGGACTCAAATAGAATGCACTCGAAAGAAAGGATCTCGAATGGAATTCATTCAAATAGAATGTAATCGAATTTAATGTAATAGTATGGAATGGAATCAAATGGAATGGAATCGAATGGAATAAAATAGAATGGAATGGAAGGGAATAGAACGGACTCGAATGTACTGGATTGCAATGTATTTGATTCGAATGTAATGGAATCTAATGGAAAGTAATCAAATAGAATGGAATGGAATAGAATGGAGTGCAATGCAATAGAATGGAGTTGAATCGAGTGGAATGGAATCAAATGGAATGGACTGGAATGGAAAGGACTCGAATGGAATTTACTGGAACAAAATGGAATGGAATGGAAAGGAATGGAATGGAGTGCAGTGGAATGGACACGAATGGAATGGAGTCTAATGGAATGAAACCGAATGGAATGTAATTGAATCAAATTGAAAGGTATAGAATGAAATGGAAAGTAATGGGAAGATCGAATGTAATGGTTTGGAAAGGACTCAAATGGAATGGACTGGAAAGGAATGGAATCAAATGGAATGGAATGGAGTGGAATGGACTCGAATGGAATGATAACGAATTGAATGGAATGGAAAGGAATGGAATGGAATGGAAAGGAATAGAATGGAATGAAATTGGATGGAATGAAATGGAATCGAATGGAATAGAATCAAATGGAATGGCATTGAATGGAATGGAATGGAATCGAATGGAATAGAAACGAATGGAATGCAATGCAATGGAAAGGAAAAGAATGGAAAGGAATGGGATGAAATGGAATGGAATGGAATGGAATGGAATGGAATGGAATGGAATGGAGTTGAATCGAATAAAATCGAATGGAATGGTTTCGAATGGAATGGAATGGTATGGATTGGTATGGACTCCAATGGAATGGACTTGAATGGAACAGCATAAAAGGGAATGACATCGAATGGATTTTAATGGAACAGAATGGACCCAAATATAATGGACTCGAATGAATGGACTCAAACGTAATGCACTCTAAAGGAATTTTCTCGAATGGAATTTATTCAAATAGAATGGAATTGAATAGAATGCAGTAGTATGGAATGGAATCGAAAGGAATGGTATCAAATGGAATCAAGTTGAATGGAATCGAATGGAATGAAATAGTATGGAATGGAATCGAACGTACTGTACCAGAATGGAATGGAATGGGATAGAACCGACTCGAATGAAATGCATTGCAATGTAATTTATTTCAATGCAATGCATTCAAATGGAATGTAATAAAATGGATTAGAATGGTAAGCAATGGAATGGAATAGAATTAAATGCCATAAAGGGGAACGGAGTGGAATCGAGTGGAGTAGAGTCGAGTGTAATGGAATCGAATTGAATGGAATCATATGGAATGGTATCAAATGGCATGGACTGGAATCGAATGGAGTGTAATCGAATGGCATGGACTGTAATGGAATGCACTCGAATGGAATGGACTGGTACAAAATGGAATCAAACAGATTGTAATCAAATGGAATAGAATGGAATGGATTGGAATACAATGGACACGAATGGAATGCAGTCGAATGGAAAGGAACCGAATGGAATGGAATGGAATCGAATGGAATGGAATTGAATAGAATCGAAAGGAATAGAATGGAATAGAGTTTAATGGAAACATAACAAACGGAATGGAATGGACTCAAATGGAATGGAGTCGGTTTCAATGAAATCAAATGGAATGGACATGAATGTAATGGAATTGAATAGAATCGAAAGGAATAGAATCAAATGGAGTGTAATGGAAAGATATCAAAAAGAAAGGAATGGAATGGAATGGAATGGAATGGAATGGAATAGACTGGAATAGAATGGACTGGAATGGAATGGCCTGGAGAAGATTGGACTCGAATGGAATGGTATGGACTGGATTGGAGTAGACCGCAATGGAATGGGACTGGAATGGAATGGACTGGAGAGGATTGGACTCAAATGGAAAGGAAATGATTGGAATGGAAAGAATGGAAAGGAAAGGAATAGAACGGAATGGAATTGGATGGAACGGAATGGAACAGAATGGAATCGAATGGAAAAGAATCTAATGGAATGGCATCAGATGGAATGGAATGGAATGGAATGGACTCGAATGGAATGGAATGGAATGGACCCAAATGGAGCAGAATTGAATGGAATGACATCGAATGGATTGGAAAGCAATGGCCTGGAACCAAATATAATGGACTCGAATGGAATGGACTCAAATAGAATGGACTTGAAAGGAAAGGTTTTGAAAGCAATTTATTCAAATAGAATGGAATCGAATGGAATGAATTAGTATGGAATGGAATCGAAAGAATTGTAATTGAATGGAATAGACCGGAATGGATTGGAGTGGAATAGAACTGGCTCGAAAGTAAAAAAATGAAATCTAATTGATTTGAAAAGAATGGATTCGAATGTAATGTAATCAAATGGAATGGAATGGAATAGAATGGAATGCAATGGAATGGAACTTAGTGGAATCTAGTGGAATGGAACGGAATGCAATGACATTGAATGGAATGGAATGGAGTGGAATGGAATGGAATGGATTGGAATGGATTGGACTGGAAAAATATGAAATTGATCAGATTGGAATCGAATGGAACAGTATGTTATGGAATGGAATGGAACGGAATGGACTCTGTTGGAATGGAATATAATAGAATGGAACCAAATGGAAATGAATCGAAAGAATGAAAGTGTATGGAGTAGAAAGGGATAGAATGGAATGGAGTGTAATGAAAAGATATCGAATGGAAAGCAATGGAATGGAATGGACTCGAAAGTAAAGGACTGGAATGGAATGCATTGGAGTTGAATGGACTCGAATGGAATGGAAAGGAGGGCGGTGGAAAGGAATGAAATGGAATGAGAAGGAATAGAATGGAATGGAAAGGAATGGAACAGAATGGAATGGAATGCAGTCAAATGGAATAGAATCAAAAGGAATGACATTGAATATAAAGGAACGGAAAGAAATTTAATCGAGTGGAATGGACTCAAGTGGAATAGAATTGAATGGAATATCATCGAATGGAATGGAATGGAATGGAATGGAATGGAATGGACCCAAATGTAATGGACTCGGACAGAATAGACACAAATATAATGGACTAGAAAGGTAAGGTTTCGAATGGAATTTATTCGAATAGAATGGAATCGAATGGAAAGCATTAGTATGGAATGGAATTGACTGGAATCCACCAGAATTGAATGGAATGGAATAGAACGGACTCGAACGTAATGGAATGCAATGCAATTGATTTGAGTGGAATGGAATCCAATGGAAAATAATCAAATGGAATGGAAAGTTATACAGTGGAATGGAATAGAATGGAATGCAATGGAATGGAACCGAGCGAAATCCAGTGGAATGGAATTGAATATAATGGAATCAAATGGAATGGAATCGAATCAAATAGACTGGAATGGAATGCACTCGGAAGAATGGATGGGAAAAAAATGGAATCGAATGGAATGGACTCGACTGTAACGGAATGGAATGGCATTGAATGGACTCGAATGTAATGAAGTTGAATGGAATGGAATTGAAAAGAATGAAATCAAACTGAAAGGAATTGAATGGAATAAAAAAGAATAGAATGGAATGGAGAGTAATGGAAATATAACAAATGGAATGGACTGGAATGGAATGGACTCGAATGGAATGCACTGTAATGGAATGGACTCAAATGGTATCAGGCTGAGTGAAATGAACTCGAATGGAATGGAAACGATTGTAATGGAATGGAGTGGAATGGAATGGAAAGGAATAGAAAGGAACGGAATCGGATAGAATGGCATGAAATGGTATAGTGTTGAATGGAATAGAATCAAAAGGAATGGCATCAATTGGAATGGAATGGAAAGGAATGGACTCGAATGGAATGGACACTAAAGGAATAGTATCAAACAGAATGGCATTCAATGGAATGGAAAGCAACAGAATGGAATGGAATGGAATGGAATGGAATGGAATGGAATGGAATGGAATGGAATGGAATAGAATGGAATGGACACAAAAGTAATGGAATCAAATGAAATGGACTCAAATAGAATAGACTCGAAAGGAATGGTCTCAAAGGGAATTTCTTCGTATAGAATGGAATCAAAAGGAATGCAATAGTATGGAATAGAATGGAATGGAATGGAATCGAATGGAATGGAACAGAATGGAATGGACTGGGTAGAACAGACTCGAATATAATGG
>NC_000024.10:11653102-11660374 GCF_000001405.40 Homo sapiens
ATATAAGGGAATAAAATAGAATGGAATGAAACGGAGTGGAATCGAGTGGAATCGGAATTGAATGGAATGGAATCAAATGAAATATATTCGAATGGAATGGACTCGAACGGAAAAGATCAGAGCAAAATGGAATCGAACGGATTAATATCGAATGGAATGGAATTGAATGGAATGCAATCAAATGGAATGGAGTCGAATGGAATGGAATAGAACGGAATGAAATGGAATAGAATCGAAAGGAATATAATGGAATGGATTGTAATGGAAAGATATCAAATGGAATGGAATGGACCAAAACCGAATGGAATGGAATGGAATGGACTTGCATTGAATGGACTGGAGTGTAATGGACTCGTTTGGAAGGGAAAAGAATGGAATGGAAAGACATGGAATGTAAAGGAATAGAATGGAATGGGATTGGATGGAAGTTAATGGAATGGAATGGAGTCGAATGGAATAGAATCAAAAGCAATGGCATTGAATGGAATGGAAGGGAAAGGACTCGAATAGAATGAAATCAAATGGAAAAAAATCGAATGGAATAAAATCGAATGGAATAGAATGGAATGGAATGGACTCGAATGGAATGGAAAGTAATGGAATGGAATGAAATGGAATTGAAAGGAATAGAATGGAATGAAATTGGATGGAATGGAATGGAATGGAATCGAATGAAATGGCATCGAATGGAATGGAATGGAATGGAATGGAATGGAATGGAATGGAATGGACTCGAATGGAGTAGAATAGAATGGAATGGCTTTGAAATGAATGGAATGGAATGCAATGGAATGGAAGGAAATGGAACCAAATGTAATGGACTCAAATGGAAAGGACTCAAATATAATGGACTCGAAAGGCATAGTCTCGAATGGAATTTACTCTAGTAGAATGGAATGAAATGTAAAGCAATCGTATGTAATGGAATCGAACGGAATGGAGTAGAATGCAATGGATGAGAATGGAAAGGACTGGAATAGAATGGAGGCGAATGTAATGGATTGCAATGTGGTGGGAGCTTCAATATAATGGAATCGAATGTAATCAAAGGTAATCAAATGGAATGCAATTGAATGGAATAGAGTGGAATGCAATATAATGGAATAAAGTGGATTCGAATGGACTGGAATCGAATGGAATGGAATCGAATGGAATGGAATCAAATGGATTGGACTGGAATCTAATGGACTCGAATGTAATAGCCTGGAACAAAATTGAATCGAACGGATTGGAAACGATCGGAACAGAACGGATTGGAATGGAAAAGAATGGACTCGAATGGAATGGAGTCCAGATCAATGGAACCGAATGGAATGGAATTGGATGGAATCAAAACGAATAGAATGGAATGGAGTGTCTTGGAAAGATAACGAATAGAATGGAATGGAATGGAATGGACTAGAATGGAATGTACTGGAATGGAGTCGATTCAAATGGCATGGATTGTAGTGGAATGGAGTCGAACGGAACGGAAACTAAATGAATGGCATGGAAAGGAATAGAATGGAATAGAATCAGATGGAACGGATTGGAATGGAATGGAGTCGAACGGTATAGAATCGAATGGAATGGCATCAAATCGAAAGGAATTGAATGGACTCGACTGGAATAGAATAGAATGGAATGGCAACGGATGGAAAGGAATGAAATGGAATTTAGTGGAATGGAACGGAATGGAAACAAATCTAATTGACTCAAAAGAATGGACTCAAATAGAATGCAATCGAAAGAAATGGTCTCGAATGGAATTTATTCGAATAGAATGGAATCGAATGGAATGCAATACTATGGAATCGAATAAAATGGAATGGAATCGAATGGAATGGACCGGAATTGCTTGGAGTGGAATAAAGCAGACTCGAATGTAATCAATTGCAATATAATTGATTTGAAAGGAAAGGAATCGAATGGAATATAATTAAATTGAATGCAATAGAATGCAATGAATGGAATAGAATGGAAAGCAATTGAATGGAATGTAGTGGAATCGAGGGCAATGAAATCAAATGAAAGGGAATCGAACGGAATGGAATCAAATGGAGTGGACAGGAATGGAATGGACTCGAATGGAATTGACTGGAACAAAATGGAATTCATCAGATTGGAATCGAATGGAACGGAGTGGAACAGAATGGAATGGACTCGATTTCAATGAATTAGAATGGAATGGACCCGAATGGAATTGAATCAAATGGAATTGAATTGAATGGATTTGAAACGAATAGAATAGAATGAACTTTAATGAAAAGATATCAAATCGAAAGTAATGGAATGGAATGGACTCATTTAGAATGGACTGGAAAGGAATGTACATGAGTGGAATGGACTCGAATGGAATGGAAAGGAATGGAATAGAAAGGAATAGAATGGAAAGGAATCGGATGGAACTTAAAGGAATGGAAAGGAGTCGAATGCAATAGAATCGAATGGAATGGCATCGAATGGAATGGAATTGAATGGAGAACACTCGAATGGATTGGACTCGAATGGAATAGAATCGAATAGAATGGCTCGAATGGAATAGAATGGAATGGAATGGAATGGACTCGAATTGAATGGAAGCGAATGGAATGGAATGAAATACAATGGAAAGGAATAGAATGGAATGGAATCAGATGGAACGGAATGGAATGGAGTCCAATGGAATAGAGTTAAATGGTATGGCATTGAATGGAATAGAATAGAATGGAATGGCATTGAAAGGATTGGAATGGAATGGAATGGAATGGAATGGAATAGAATGACACAAATGTAATGGATTCGACTGGAACAGACTGAAATAGAATGGACTCGAAAGGTATGGATTCGAATGGAATTTAATCGAATAGAATGGAAACGAAAGGAAAGCAACAGTATGGAATGGTATCAAATGGAATGGACTGGAATGGAATGGACTGGAATAGAACAGACTCGAACTTATTGGATTGCAATTTAATTGATCTGAAAGGAATTGAATCGAATGGAATGTAACCAAACGGAATGCAATGAAATGCAATTGAATGGAATAGAATGGAATTCAATGGAATGGAACGGAGTGGAATCGAGTGGAATGGAATCAAATGAAATGGAATCGAATGGAATGGAATCAAATGGAATGGACTGGAATGGAACAGACTCGAATGTAACGGACTGGATAAAATGGAATCGAACAGATTGGAATCGTATAGAACTGAATTAAATGGAATGGAATAGAATGGACTTGAGCGCAATTGAGTCGAATGGAATGGAACTGAATGGAATGTAATTGAATGGAATCCAAAGGAATAGAATAGAATGGAATGTCATGGAAAGATATCAAATGGAATGGAATGGACCCGAATGGAAAGGACTGTAATGGAGTGGACTCGAATGGAATGGACTAGAGTGGAAAGGACTCGAATGAAATGGACTAGAGTGGAAAGGACTCGAATGGAATGGAAACGAATGGAATGGAATGGAAAGGAGTAGAATGGAATGGAATCAGATGGAACGGAATTGAATGGAATAAAGTCGAATGGAATAGTATCGAATGGAAAGAAATCGAATGGAATGGAATAGAAAGAAACGGAATGAAATGGACTCGAGTGAAAAGGACTTTAATGGAACAGAGTCAAATGGATTGCCATCGAATGGAATGAAAGGAATGGAATGGAACGGAATGGAAGGAACCAAAACGTAAAGGAATCGAATGAAACGGACTCAAACAGAATGGACTCAAAAGGAATGGTCTAAAATAGAATTTATTCGAACAGAATGGAATGGAAAAGAGTGCAATAGTATGGAATGGAATCAAATGGAATGGAATCGAACAGAATCGACCGGAATGGAATAGACTGGAATAGAAAGCACAGGAATGTAATGGATTGAAATGTAATTGATGTGAACTCCTTGGAATTGAATGGAATGTAATCAAATGGAACGGAATGTAATGCAATGGAATGAAATAGAATGGAATGCCATGGAATAGAACGGAGTGGAATCGAGTTGAATGGAAATGAATGGATTCGAAACAAATGGAATGGAATAGAATGGAATGAACTGGCATGGAATTGACTCGAAAGGAAAGGACAGGAAAAAAATGGTATCGAACGGATTAGAATTGAACGGAAAGGAATGGAATGGAATGGAATGGAATGGAATGGAATGGAATGGAATGGATTCGAATGGAATGGAGTCAAATGGAATGCAATCGAATGGAAATGAATCGTACAGAATGGAATTGAATGGAATCAAAAGGAATAGAATGAAATGGAGTGTAACAGAAAGATATCGAATGGAATGGAATGGAATGGAATGGATTTAAATGGAGAGGCCTGGAATGGAATGTACTCGAATGGATTGGACTGGAATGCAATAGACTAGAACGGAATGCTCTGGAGTGCAATGGACTCTAACGGAACAGAAAAGAATTGAATGGAATGGAATGGAAAGGAACAGAATGGAAATGATTATAATGGGATGGAATCGAATGTAACAGAATGGAAAGTAATGGAGGTGAATGGAATAGAATCCAATGGAATCGTATTGAATGGCATGAAATGGAATGGAATTGAATTGACTCGAATGGAATGGACCCAAATATAATGGACTCAAAAGGAATGGACTCAAATAGAAAGGACATGAAAGGAAAGGTCTTTAATGGAAATTTTTCGAATAGAATGGAATCGAATGGAGTGCAATAGTATGGAATGGGATCGAATGGAATAGAATCAAATGGAATGGACCAAAATGGATTGGACTGGAATGGAACGGACGCAAATGTTATGGATTGCAATGTTATTGATTCGAATGGAATAGAATCGAATGTAAAGTAATCAGAAGAAAAAGAAAGGAATGAAATAGAATGGAAAACAATGGATTATAATGGAGTGGAACGGAGAGGAATCGAGTGGAATAGAATGGAACGTAATGGCATCGAATGGAATGCACTGGAACGGAATGGACGCGAATGGAATGGAATGGAACAAAATGGAATCGAACTTATTGGAATCGAAAGGAATGGAATGTAACGTAAATGAAAAGAATGCACTCGAATGGAATGGAGTCCAATGGAATGAAATCGAATGGAATGGAATCAAATGGAATGGAATTGAAGGGAATCGAAAGGAATAGATAGGAATGGAGTGCAATGGAATGATATCGAATGGAATGCAATCAAGTGGAATGGCATGGAGTCGAATGGAATGGAATAGAATGTAATGGACTGGAACAAAATGGAGTCAAAAAGATTGGAATCGAATTGAAAGGAATGGAAGAAAATGGACTCGAATAGAATGGAGTCGAATGGAATGGAATTGAATGGAATCAAACGTAATAGAATGGAATGGAGTGTCATGGAAACATATCGAATTGAATGGAATGGAATCGAATCGAATCGAATGGAATGGACTGTAATGGAATGGACTGTAATGGAATGGACTGAAGTGGAATGGACTCGAATGTAATGGAAACGAACGGAATTGACTGGAAAGGAATAGTATGGAATGGAATGGCATCGGAAAGAAGGGAATTCAATGGAATTGAAAGGAATTTAATGGACGGAATTTAATGGACCCAAATGTCATGGATTCGAATTTAAAGGACTCAAACAGAATGGACATGAAAGGAATGGTCTGAAAAGGAATTTATTCGAATACAAAGGAATCGAATGGAATGCAACAGTATGGAATGGAATCGAATGGAATGGAATAGCATGGAATGGAATGGACCAAATTGTAATGGAATCAAATGGAATACACACAAATAGAATGGATTCCAATGGAATGGTATCGAATGGAATTTATTCGAATACAATGGAATTGAATGGAATGCAACAGCATGGAATGGAATCAAATGGAATAGACTAGAATGGAATGGAGTGGAATAGAATAGACTCAAATGTAATGGACTGCAACGCAATTGATTTGAATGGAATGAAATTCAATGAAATGTAATCAAATTGAATGGAAAGATATGCAATGGAATGGAATACAATGGAATGCAATGGAATGGAACAGAGTGGAATCGAATGGAATGGACTCGAATGGAATAAACTGGAACATAATGGAATCGGAAGGATTGGAGTTGAACAGAAGGTAATGGAATGGAATGGACTCGAATAGAATGGAGTGGAATGAAACAGACTTGAATGCAATGGACTGGAGAGGAATGGACTCGAATGTAATTGAAAAGAATGGAATGTATTTAAATGGGATGGAAAGGAATAGAATGGAATGGAATCGGATGGAACAGAATGTAAAGGAATGGAGTAGAATGGAGTAGAATAGAATGGAATGGCCGCCAATAGAATGGATTGGAATGGCATGGAATGGACTATAAAGGAATGGAAACAAAAGGAATAGATTGGAATGGAATGGCATCAAATAGAATGGAATGGAATGGACCCAAATGTAATGGACTCAAATTGAATGGATTCAAATAGAAAGGACGCAAAAGGAATGGTCTCGAATGGAATTTATTCAAATGGAATGGATTCGAATGGATTGCAATACTATGTAATGGAATCAAATGGAATTCAGTCGAATAGAATGGACCAGAAAGGAATGGACTGGAATAGAACGGACTCGAATGTAATGGATTGCAATGTAATTGATTCAAATGGAATGGTATCGAATGCAATGTAATCAAATGGAATGGAATGCAATAGAATGGAATGCAATAGAACGGAACGGAGTGGAATCGAGTGGAATGGAATGTAAACGAATGGAATCAAATGGAATGGACTCGAATGGAATGGACTCGATTGGAAAGGAAAGGAGCAGAATGGAATTCAAAGGATTGGATTTAAACAGAATGGAAAGTAATGGAATGGAATGGAATTGACTCCAAAAGAATAAAGTCGAATGGAATGGAACCCAATGGAATGGAATCGAATGAAATTGACTGGAGTGGAATGGACACGAATGGAATGGAAACGAATGGAATGGAATGGAATGGAACGGAATGGAATGGAATGGAGTGGAATAGAATGTAATGGAATGGAATTGGATGGAATGGATTGGCATTGAATGGAGTCAAATGGAATAGAATCCAATGGAATGGCATCTAATAGAATGGAATGGAAAGGAATGGATTCAAATGGAATAGAGTCGAATGGAATGACATCTAACGGAATGAATTGGAATGCAATGGAATGGAATGGAATGGGATGGAATGGGATGGAATGGAATGGAATGGACCAAAATTTAACGGAATCTAAAGAAATGGACTCAAATAGAATGGACTCAAAATGAATGATCTGGAATGGAATTTATTCAAATATAATGGAATCGAATCGAATGTGATAGTATGAAA
>NC_000024.10:11662181-11663986 GCF_000001405.40 Homo sapiens
ATTGCATGGAATGGTATTTAAGGGAACGGAAATGGAATGGACACGATTGGAATGGAGTCGAATGGAATGGAATCAAGTGGAATGGAATCAAATTGAATGGAATTGAATGGAAATGAAAGAAATAAAATGGAATGAATTGTAATGCAAAGACATCAAATGGAATGAAATGGAATAGCCTCAAATGGAATGGAGGAGAATGGAATGGAATCGAATTGAATATACTGGACTGGAATGGACTGGAATGGAATGGAAACGAATGGAATGGAATGGTATGGAAAGGAATGGAATGAAATGGAATAGAATGGAAAGGAATAGAATCCTATGGCATCGGATGGAACGGAATGGAATGGAATGGTATCGAATGGAATAGAATCGAATAGAATGACATCAAATGGAATGGAAAGCAATGAACTCATAGAATGGTCTCAAAAGTAATGGTCTCGCATGTAATTTACTCTAATAGAATGGAATCGAAAGGAATGCAATGGTATGAGAGGAATCGAATGGAATGGAAAGGAATGGAACTGGCTTGAATAGAACGGACTCAAAGGTAATGGATTGCAAAGCCATTGGCTCAAATAGAAAGGAATTGAATAGAATGGTATGGAATGTTATGGAATGCAGTGGACTGAAATTGAATGGAAAGAAATGGAAAGGAACAGAGAGAAATCGATTGGAATGGAATCTAATGGAATGGAATCAAACAGAATGGAATCAAATGGAATGGACTGGAATCGAATGGACTCGAATGGAATGGACACGAATGTAATGGACTGGAACGAAATGGAATTAAGCGGATAGGAATTGGAAATAACAGAATGGAATGGAATGGGATGGAATGGACTCGAACGGAATGGAGTCGATTGGAGTGGAATCGATTGGAATGGAATGGAATGGAATTGAATGGAATCGAAAGTAATATAATGGAATAGAATCTAATTTAAAAAATGGAATGGAATGGACTCATAGGCAATGTACTGGAATAGAATGAACTAGAATGGAATGGAGTGGAGTGGAAAAGACTAGAATGGAATGGTAACAAATGGCATGGAATGGATCGGAAGGGAATGGAATGGAAAGGAAAAGAATGGAATGGAATCGGAAGGAACGGAATGGAATGGAATGGATTCTAATTGAATGGAATGGATTCGAATGGAATAGAATCAAGTGGAATGGCATCGAATGGAATGGAATGGAATGCACTCGAATGCAATGGGTTCGAATGGAATAGAATCCAATGGAACGGCATTGAATGGAATGGAATGGAATGAAATGGACAGAAATTTAATGGACACGAATGGCTTGGATTCAAATAGAATGGACTCGAAAGGAATGGTCTCGAATGGAATTTATTCAAATCAACTGGAAATGAAGGGAATGCAATAGTATGTAACGAAATCGAATGGAAAGGGATCAAATGGAATTGACCGGAATGGAATGGACTGGAGTAGAACGGACTGGAATGTAATGGATTGCAATGTAATTGCTACGAATTGAATGGCATTGAAGGGAATGTTTTCAAATGGAAAGGAATGGAATGCAAGTGAATGGAATTGAATGGAATGAAATGGTATGGAATATAGGAATATAATGCAGTGCAATGGAATGTAATAAAATGGAATAAAATGGAATGGAACAGAGTGGTATCGATTGGAATGGAATCAAAAGGAATTAAAATCAATGGAATGGACTGGATTTGAATGGACTGGAACAGAATGGACTCGAATGGAATGCACTGAAACAAAATGGAAACCAACGTATTGGAATCGAATGGAATGGAATAGAATGGAATCAATGGACTCAAA
>NC_000024.10:11664006-11669948 GCF_000001405.40 Homo sapiens
AATGGAATGGAGTGCACTGGAATAGAATGGACTGGAACGGAATGGACTCTAATGGAATAGAATGGAATGGAATGGAATGGAATGTAGTGGAAAGCACTCGATTGGAATTGAGTCAAAAAGGTTGGAATCAAATGGAATGGAGTCGGATGGTATTGAATGGAATGGAATGACATATGATGCAATGCAGTGTAATGAAATGGAATGCAATGGAATGGAATGGAATGGAAATGAATAGACCAAAATGTAATGGACTCGAAAGGAATGGACTCAAAGAGAATGGACCTGAAAAGAATGATATCAAATTGAATTTGTTCGAATAGAATCGAATCGAATGGAATGCAATAGCATGGAATGGAATCGAATGGAATAGAATGGAATGGAGTGGACTGGAATAGAACAGACTCGAATATAATGGATTGCAATGTAACTGTTTCGAATGAAAAGGAAGCAAAAGGAATGTAATCAAAAGGGATGGAATGGAATACTATGGAATGGAGGAGAATGGAATTCAAAGGAAAGGAATGGAGTAGAATAGAGTGGAATGGAATCGACAGAAATGGAATGGAATGGAATGGAATCGAATGGAATGGACTACGGTAGAATGAACCCGAATGCATTGGTCTGAAACAAAATGGTATCGAACGGATTGGAATTGATTGGAACAGAATGGAATGGAATAGAATGCAATGGAAAGGAATAGAATGAAATGGAAACGGGTGGAATGGAATGGAATTGAATAGAGTTCAGTGGAATAGAATTGAATGGAATGTCATAGAAAGGAATGGAATGGAATGGAAGGTAATGTTATGGACTCAAAAGGAATTGATTCGAATGGAATAGAATGGCAAGGAATAGTATTGAATTGAATGGAATGGAATGGACCCAAATGTAATTGATTCGAATGAAATAGACTCAAATAGAATGGACTCAAAAGAATGGTCACACTTGGAATATATTCAAATGGAATGGAATTGAATGGACAGCAATAGTATGGAATTGAATCGAATGGAATGGAATCAAATGGAATAGACCGGAATAGAATGGACACGAATATTATGGATTGCAATTTAATTGATTTGATTGAAATGGATTCAAATGGAATGGAATGGTATGCAATATTATGGAATAGAATGGAAGGTAATAACATGGAATGGAGTGGAATTGAGTGGAATGGAATCTAGTGGAATGGAATCGAATGGAATATAATCAAATGGAATGAACCGGAATGAAACGGACACGAATGGACTGGATTGGAAAAAAAATGGATTCGAACACACTGGATTCGAATGGAACGGAATAGAATGGAATGGAATGGTATGGAATCGAATGGAGTGGAGTCAAATGGAATGTAACCGAATAGAATGGATTCGAAAAAATAGAATTCAATGGATTCGAAAGGAATAGAATGGAATGGAGTGCAATGGAAAAATATCGAATTTAATGGAATGGAATGGAAGGGAATCAAAAGGAATGGAGTCCAATGGAATGGAGTCAAATGGAATGGAATCGAATGTAATGAAAATGAATAGAATCGAAAGGAATAGAATGGAATGGGGTGTGAAGGAATGATATCGAATGTAAAGGAATGGAATGGGATGGACTCGAATGGAATGGGTTGCAATATAATGGACTTGAATGGAATGGAAAAGAATGGAATGGAAATGAATACAAAGGGATGGAATCGGATGGACCAGAATGGAATGGAATGGAGTCGAATGGAATAGAATTGAATTGAAGTTCTTTGAATTGAATAGAGTGAAATGGAATGGAAAGTACTTGAAAGGAAAGGACTTCAATGGAACAGAATCGAATGGAATGGCATCGAATGGAAAGGAATGGAATGGAATGGAAACAAATGTAAAGGACTCGAATGCAATGGACTCAAATAGAATGGACTCGAAAGAAATGCAATCTAATGTTATTTATTCAAAAAGAATGGAATCCAATGGAATGCAATAGAATGGAATGGAATCAAATGGAATGGACTGGAATGAAATGGACTGGAATAGAATGCACTCGAATGAAATGGATTGCAATGAAATGGATTTGAATGGAATGTAATCGAAAGGAATAAAAAAATGGAATGGAAACGAAATCAGTGGAATGGTATAAAAAGTAATCCAATGGAAAGGAACGGATTGGAATCGCATGGAATGGAATCGAATGGAAAGGGATCAAAAGGAATGGAATCAAATGGAATGGACTCTAATGGAAGGGACTCGAATGGAATGGAGTGGAACAAAATGGAATCGATTGGATAGGAATCAAACGGAACAAAATGGAATGGAATGAAATGGACTCGAATGGAATGGAGTCGAATGGAATGGAATCAAATGGAATGGAATTGAATGGAATTGAAAGGAATAGAATGGAATGGAGTGTAATGGAAAGATTTCAAATGTAATGTAATGGAATTGAATGGACTCGAGAAGAATGGACTGGAATGGAATGGAAAGAGTAGAATGGAATGGAATCGGATGGAAAGGAATGGAATGGAATGAAGTCGAATGGAATAGAATCAAATATATTGGCATCGAATGGAATGGAATGGAATGGAATGGAATGGAATGGAATCGAATTGAAAGGAATGGACTTGAATGACAGAATCTAATGGAATGGTATCGAATGGAATTGATTGGAATGGAATGTAATCGAAAGCAATGGTATGGAATTTACCCAAAATTTATGGACTCGAATGGAAAAGACTCAAATAGAATGTACTCGAAATGAATGGTCTCCAATGGAATTTATTCGAAAAGAATGGAATATAATAGACTGCAATAGATTGGAATGGAATTAAATAGAATGGACCGGAATGGAATGGGCTGAAATAGAATTTACATGAATGTAATGGATTACAACGCAATTGATTTGAATGGAATGAAATCGAGTGCAATGTAATCAAAAGGAATTGAATGATATGCAATGGAATACATAACAATGGAATGCAATGGAATGGAACGAAGTGGAATAGACTGGAATGGAATCGAATCAAATGGAATCGAATGGAATGGAAACGCAGGGAATGGACTTGTTTGGAATGGACTCGAATGGAATGGACTGGAACAAAATGGAACCGAACGGATTGGAGTCTAATGGAACGGAGTGGAATGGAATGGAATGGGAAGGAATGGACTCCAATGGAATGGAGTCGACTGGAATGGAATCGAATGGAATGGAAAGGAATGGATTAAAATTTAATGGAATCGAAAGGAATACAATGGAATGGAGTGTAATGGAAAGATATCACATGGAACGGAATGGAATGGAATGGACTACAATGCAATGGACTGGAATGGAATGGTCTCGAAAGGAAATGAAACGAGTGGAATGGAATGGAAAGGATTAGAATGGAATGTAATGGAATCAGATGGAACATAATAGAATGGAATGGAGTCAAATGGCATAGAATCGAAAGGAATGACATCGAATGAAATTGAATGGAATGGAATGAAATGGACTTAAATGGAATACAATCAAATGGAAAAGCGTTGAATGGGATGGAAAGGAATGGAATGGAATGGAAAGGAATGTTCCCAAATGTAATGGTCTCGAATGAAATGGACTCATATAGAATGGACTCAAAAAGAATGGTCCCAATGGAATTTACTCGAATACAATGGAATCGAAAGTAATGCAATAGTTTCTAAAGTAATTGAATGGGATGGAATCGAATTGACTTGACCGGAAAGTTAAGGAGTGGAATAGAACGGAGTTGAAATTAATGGAAGGAAATGTAATTAAATTGAGTGCGTTGGAATTGAAAGGAATGTAATCAAGTGGAATGGAATGGAACGCAATGGAATGGAATGCATTGGAATGGAATAGAATGGAATGCAAAGGAATGGAACGGAATAGAATCAACTGGAATGGAATCGAATGGAATAGAATCATAAGGAATGGACTGGAATGGAAGGGACAAAAATGGAATGGACTGGAAAAAAATGGAATCAAATGGAATGGAATGGAATGGGCCCATATGTAATGGACACGAATGGAATGGAATCAAATGGAAGGGACTCAAAAGGAATGCTCTCGAATGGAATTTATTTGAATAGAATGGAATGAAATAGAACGCAATAGTATGCAATGGAATCTAATTGAATGGAATGGACTGGTATTGAACTTACTCGAATGTAATGTATTGCAATGAAATTGATTCGAATGATATGGAATGGAACGGAATGGCATTAAATGGAAATTAATGGAATACAATGGAAAGGAATTGAATGGAATGCAAGGGATTGGAAATCAGTGTAATCAAGTGGAATGGAATCGAATGGAATGGAATCGAATGGAATGAAATAAAATGGAATGAAATTGAATGGAATGAAATTGAATGGAATTGAAAGGAGTAGAACAGGAAGGAGTGCAATGGAATGATACCGAATGAAATGGAATGGATTGGACTCCAATGGAATGGAATGGAATGCAATGGAGTCGAATGGAATGGACTGGAGAGGAATGGACTTGAATGAAAAGGAAACGAATGGATTGCAATGGAATGGAATGCAATGGAATGTAAAGGAATAGAAAGTAATGGAATTGGATAGAACTGAATGGAATGGAATGGAGTCGAATGGAATTCAATCCAATGGAATGGCATTGAATGGAATGAAATGGAATGGACTCAATTGGAATGGAAACAAATGGAATAAAACCAAATGGAATGGCATTGAATGGAATTGAATGGAATGGAATGGTTTGGAATTGGAAAGATTGGAATAGAAAGGAATATAGTCAAATGGAATAGAATCGAATGGAATGGCATCGAATGGAATGGAATCAAATGGAATGGAGTCAAATGGAATAGAATGGAATGGAATGGCATGGAATGGAATGAAATGAAATGGAATGGAATGGAGTGAAATGGAATAGACCTAAATATAATGGACTCGAATGGAATGGAGAAATAAAATGGACTCGAAACGAAAGGCCTGGAATGGAATATATTCGAATAGAATAGTATTGAATGAAAAGCAATAGTATGGAATGGAATAGAATGGAACGGAATTAAATGGAATGGACTGGAACGGAATGGACTGGAATAGAATGGACTCGCATGAAATGGACTGCAATGTAATTGATTCGAATGGAATGGAATCGAACGGAAAATAATCAAATGGAATGGAATAGAATGCAATGGAATGGAATAGAATTGAATGCAATGGAATGAAACGGAATGTAATTGAATTGAATGGTATCGAATGGAATGCAATTGAATGGAATGGAATCGATTGGAATGGTCTCGAATGGAACGGACTGGAACAAAATGGAATCAAACGGATTGGAATCGAATGGCATGGAAGGGAATGGAAGGGAATGTACTCTAATGGAAAGCAGTTGAATGGAATGGAACTGTATGAATGGAATTGAATGGAATCGAAAGGAATAGAATAAAGAGGAGTGTAATTAAAGATATCCAGTGGAATTGAATGGAATAGAGTGGATTTGAATGGACTGAAATCGAATGGAAAGGACTGGAATTGAATCAAATCGAATGGAATGGACTGGAAAAAAATGGAATCGTACGGATTGGAAACAAACGGAAAGGAATGGAATGGAATGGACTCGAATGGAATGGAGTCGAATGGATTGGAATTGAATGGAATGGAATTGAATGGAAAGGAATTGAATGCAATTGAAAGGAATAGAATGGAATGGAGTGTAATGGAAAGATATCGAAAGGAAGGGAATGGAATGGATTGAACACGAATGGAATGGAACTGAACGGAATGGAATCGAATAGAATGGAATCGAAGGGAATAGAATGGAATGGAGTGTAAAGGAAAGAGATCGAATGGAATTGAATGGTTTCGAACGGAGTTTATTCAAATGTAATGGAATGGATGTAATGGAATCGAATTCATTGGAATTGAATAGAATTGAAAGCAATAGAATGGAATGGAGTGGAATGGAAAGACATAGAATAGAAAGGAATG
>NC_000024.10:11670088-11671800 GCF_000001405.40 Homo sapiens
AATGGAAATGAATGGACTCAAATATAATGGAATAGAAAAGAATTGCCTTGAATGAAATTTATTCGAATAGAATGCTATCAAGTGAAATGCAATAGTATGGAATGGAATCGAATGGAATGGAATGGAATCAAATGTAATGCAATAGTGTGGAATGGAATCGAATGGAATGTACCAGAAGATATTAGACTGGAATAGAAAGGACTCGAATGTAATGTATTTCAAAATAATTGATTCGAATGGAGTGGAATAAAATGGAGTGAAATCAAAAAGAATGGATTGGAATGTAATGCAATGGAATGCAATGCAATGGAATGGAATGGAGTGCAATGGAATGGAACGGAGTGGAAACGAGTTTAATGGAATTGAACGAAATGTAATTGAATGGAAGGGAATCGAGTGGAATGCACTAGATTTAAATGGACTTGAATGGATTAGAATGGAATGGACAGGAACAAAAAGGAATCGAGTGGATTGAAACCGAACGGAAAGGAATGGAACGGAATCAAATGGAATGGAAATGAATGGAATGTAATCGAACGCAATGGAATCGAATTTAATTAAAAGAAATCAAAAGAAATAGAATGGAATGGATTGTAATGCAAAGATATCGAATGCAACGGAATGGAATGGAATTGATCAGAGTGGAATGGACAGGAATAGAACGGACTCGAATGTAATGCATTGCAATTTAATTGATTCAAATGGAATGGAATCGAGTGGAATATAATCAAATGGAATGGAATGGAATGCAATTAAATGGAATAGAATGGAATGAAATGGAAAGGAACGGAGTGGAATTGAATGGAAAGGAATCGAATGGAAAGGAATTGAATGGAATGGAATCAATGAAATGGACTGCAATGTGATAGATTCGAATGGAATGGACTGGAACAAAATGGAGTCAAACGGATTGGAATCGAACAGAACAGAATGGAATGGAAAGGAATACATTTGACTCGAATGGAATTGAGTCAAATGAAATGGAATCGTATGGAATGGAATTGAATGGAATGAAATTTAACGGAAGCAAAAGGAATACAACGGAATGGAGTGTAATGGAAACATATGGAGTGTATTGGAGTGGAATGGAATGGAATGGACTCGAATGCAATGGAAAGCAAAGGAATGGACCCGAATGGAATGGACTGCTGAGGAATGGAATTGAATGGAATGGAATGGAAAGGAATAGAATGGAATGGAATCAGTGGAACGGAATGGAATGGAATGGAGTTGAATGGAATAGAATAGAATGGAATGGCATCTACTGGGGTGGAATGGAATGGAAAGGAATAAAATGGAATGGAATGGAATGGAATCGAATCGAATCGAATCGAATAAAATAGAATGGACTCGAATGGGATGGACTCTAATGGAATAGAATCGAATGGAATGGCATCGGATCGAATGGGATGGAATGGACCCAAATGTAATGGAATTGAATGGAGTAGACTCAAATAGAATGGACGAGAAAGGAATGGTCTCGACTATAATTTATTCAAATAAGAAGGAATAGAAAGTAATTCAATAATATGGAATGGAATCGAATGGAATGGAATTGAATGGAATATACCAGAATGGAATGGACAGGAATAGAATGGATTCGAATGTAACGTACAGAAATGTAATTGATTCAAATGCCTTGGAATCAAATGGAATGAAATCAAAAGGAATTGAAAGGATTACAATGGAATGAAATAGTATAAAATGCAATA
>NC_000024.10:11671820-11673795 GCF_000001405.40 Homo sapiens
AGGTAATCGAATGGAAGGGAAGGTAATGGAATAGACTGGACTATAAAGGAACGGAGTCAAATGTAATGGAGTCGAATGGTATGGAATCAAATCGAATGGAATCCAATGGAATGGAATTGAATAAAATTGAAAGGAAAAGAATGGAATGGAGTGTAAAGCAAAGATATCGAATGGAATGGAATAGAAAGGAATGGAGTTGAAAGGAATAGACTGGAATGGATTAGACTCTAATGGAATGGACTGGAGAGGAATGGACTCAAAAGGAATGGAAACAAATGGAATGGGATGGAATGAAATGGAATGCAACGGAATGGTAACTCATGGAACGGAATGCAATGGAATGGAGTTGAATGGAATTGAAACCAATGCAATTACATCGAAAGTAATAGAATGGAAAGAAATGAAAGGCCTCGAATGGAATGGATTCAAAAGGAATAGAATCGAATGGAATGGCATAGAAAGGAATGGAATAGAATGGAATGGAATGGACCCAAATGTAATGGACTCGAATTGATTTGAATTAAATACAATGTACTCGAAAGGAATGGTCTCGAATGGAACTTGTTCGAATAGAATGAAATCGAAAAGAATGCAATAGTTTGGAATGGAATCAAATGGAATAGAATGCAATGGAATGGAATGGATTGCCAGGGAATTGAATATAATAGAGTGCAATGGAATGGAACGAAGTAAAAAGGAGTGGAATGGGATCGAATGGAATGGAATCGAATAGGATTCAATCATAGGGAATAGACCGTAATGGAATGGACTCGAATGGAATGGAATGGAAAAAAATGGATCAAACGGATTGGAATCGAACAGAACAGAATGAAATGGAATAGAGTGGAATCGAACAGACCCGAACGTAATGGACTGCAATGTATTTCATTCGAATGGAATTGAATTAAATAGAAATTTTTCAAATGGAATGCAATCGAATGCAATAGAAAGGAATAGAATGGAATGCAATGGAATGAAACGGAGTGGAATCGAATGTAATGGAATGGAATGGAAAGGAATCGAAAGGAATGGAATTGATCGGAATGGACTGGACTGGAATGGACTCTAAAGGAATGGAAAACAGTGGAATGGAATAGAATGGAATTCAAAGGAATAGAATGGCATGGAATCGGAAGGAACAGAATGGAATGGAATGGAGACGAATGGAATAAAATTCATTGGTATGACATCAAATGGAATGGAGTGGAATGGAATGGAATAGAATGGAATGTAGTGTAGTCGAATCGAATGGACTCGAATGGAATAGAATTGAATGGAATGGCATCGAAGTGAATGGAATGAAAAGGAATGGAACCAAATATAATGGACACAAATGGAATGGACTCATATAGAAAGGAATCGAATGGAATAGTCTCCAATGGAATTTATTCGAATCCAATGGAATCGAATGGAATGCAGTAGTTTGGAAAGGAATCGAATGCAAAGGAATTGAATGGAATGAATCGGAATGGAATGGACTGGAATAAAATGGACTCGAATGTAATGGACAGCAACATAATTGATTCGAATGGAATGGTATAGAATGGAATGTAATCAAATGGAATGAAATGGAATGCAATGGAATTGAATATAATGGAATGCAATGGAATGGAAAGGAGTCTAATCGAGTGGAATGGAATAGTATGGAATGGATTCAAATGGAATGGATTCGTTGTGAATGCACTGGAATGGAATGGATTTGAATAGAAAAATCTGGAACAAAATGGAATCTAACGGAATGGAATCGAACGGCATGGAATACAAGGGAATGGAAGGGACTCGAATGAAATGGAGTCGAATGGAATGGACTCCAATTTAATGGATTGAAATGGAATGGACTCGAATGGAATGGACTAGAGTGGAATGGAGTTGAATGGAATGGAAACGAATGGATGGGATGGAATGGAATGGAAAGGAATTGAATGGAATGGAATCAAATGGAACGGAATAGAATCGAATGGAGTGGAATGGAATA